>NC_000013.11:69771742-69923257 GCF_000001405.40 Homo sapiens
CTTATATTTTAAAAATAATTTTGAGTGAATTCTATTTAATGACGATAATGGTGTAATATTTGTCTTTTACTCTGAAAAAATGGTCAAATTAGGAAGACATGCGAATCAAAATGTGGAGACATGACTTCAAAATAGCAAATACCACTCACTTTTTTCTCATGTATATCTTTGTAGTATTGCAAGACTTATCAATAAATAGTATAATAATAATAATAATTGTTATTTTTGAGATGGAGTCTCACTCTATTGCCCTGGCAGGAATGCAGTGGCACAGTCTTGGCTCACTGCAACCTCTGCCTCCTGGGTTCAAGCAATTATCCTGCCTTTGCCTCCCGAGTAGCTGGGATTACAGGCGCCTGCCACCACGCCCAGCTAATTTTTGTATTTTTAATAGAGTTGGGGTTTCACCATGTTGGCCAAGATGTTTTTATTTTTTTAAAGTTGATAGTATTCAAATAAACATTTTATAGAAAAGCATTGAAAACCCCAAAGGTATGGTATATCTATTATAATAATGTACATATTTTATTTATAAATATAGTATTTTCTCTTCTTCAAATAAAACCAAAAAGAAATTGTCCTAGAATAAAAAACAATTTATAATAGAACAGCAAATTTTTTCTCATTTTTGTTGGGGAAAAAATAAATCAAGCATTACCTATATAAAATAAACAGAAGTACTTAAAATTTGACAATTTTTTTCTATTTATTTTTCTCAGTGATACAGTCACACCTCAAATCACACCTCATTAAATCTAAACAAATTAAGGCTGTTTATTATTTCTCAATGAACTAAATTGAATTAAACTGTGCCCCTGTTTTCTAAATCTACTCTAGTTTGTCCACAATATTTCAAATATTATGTTGATCAACACTAATTCTCTAAAAAGTGTCTTACTTTTAGAATTTTTCTTTTAGAATATTTTCTTACATCTACCGTGTGTAAAGTATCTTGCAGGTAATAGGGTTTGGTTGCAATGGTAGCTGTTTTTAGTTGTTTCTGGATGAACAAAGTGTTGTTTCTGAATAAAGTGCCTTAAAAAGAGCCTGTGTCATCAACCAGCTTCCAGTAACACAGAAAAGAATTAAACATTAATAAACATCAATATGAGATAACCTTCATTTGATAAATATAAACAAAGCACTAGAGTGTTTGATTCAAGAGATAGAGTTTTTTTTAACAACGTTGATCCAAACAGGTTTCATTAAGAGGAATATTCTTGGATTCTTGAAAAGCAAGAATAATTTCAGGAAGATCCGAGTGAGAAAGCATTTGATGTTTTGTAGACCATTACACAGGCAGAAAACAGAACAAGCAAAGGAAAAAAAATAAAACCCTAAGGTTTGGAAAGCGGTGTGCAATGTCCTCTAATGGAAGCATTTGTTTTATTTTTGTACATGCATAATAGATATATATTAAATTATTTATTTTTCTTAAACTAAAAAGGTAATATCTGCTATACACTTTAAGGGAATATAATGTAGGTAAAGTTTTGTAATAATGTAAAGTCCTCTGGAAATTTTTTATGTTCACCATGTGTAATGACATTTACTATTGGCTCTTATTTGCATATGAAAATTGATGAATAGTCAGAAAGTCTGATCAAGCATCAGTACTCTGTGAATTCACTTTGCTCTCTCCTCTATGTCCCAGTTAGAAGAGAATAGAACTTCCTATATTTTTCCTCTATGAGATATAATTGCATATTTAGTATTATTGTTAGAGTATGTTTCTTAAGGATGTCTATATCAAATAGTGAGCACTCAGTAATAAATGGTAATAAGAGAACATGTAGAATTGCTAATCTAAATATATAATCTTTTATTTATGATAATTAAATTTGAAGAGATAATTTCATTGTGCACCCTCTAACTCCTACATTATTAGGTGACTCTACAATTTAGTCAAGGTCTTTCGAGTATGGAGCACAGAACCTAAATTAGTAAATGACACTCTACAATTAAATTTAATAAAATTTTTGAAAATTTCCTATATTTCAGGCCAAGAGTTACTGAATATTTAGTGTTCTGTTGCTCTATTACATGCAAAGCAATGTGAAGGCAATATCATGTTTATCTTGTTTACAATTTTCTCTCTGGCACCCAGAGAAAGTCCTTGGCTATATATATATATATATATACATAGAATAAAACGTATTGTGGGAGTTTCAATCTAATATAATAAAATATCAAGTTGAGCTTAAATTATCTGTAAGTACCATAACAAATTCAATGTTATTTGCTAATTATTTTTCACAAATACAATTGTGTTAACTAATTTGTTGTAAAAATAACAAAAATAATGTTGACCTTTCTTAAAAAGTTTGTACCAAGTGACGAAAAAATCCAGTTCAGTGCTCAAAAGAATAGTAACACAGCAGTATTACTCTTTTTAAACATATTTAAAATCCTAATAATCAGGCCTTTCCAGTAAAGGAGAAAAATTAATCATAATGAACTATTTTTTGTAATAATATACAAACTCACAGATACAAATAGAGTTCAAGATGAAATTGTTTCAAAAGGTTTTAATAAAATTTATGACATAAAAGTACAAATATATAGTTGCAAAACTACATGCACGGATATAAAGTATTGTGATTGATTTTAACTTGTTAAACTTTAATATATTATATTTTTGTATATTGCCTATAACAATATTAATCTTCCTATGATTTTGTTATTCTTTTAGAATCTTTAGTACAATTTGGCAAAATAATGGAAATGACTTTTGCCATATCCTCTCTCTCTTCTCAGGTGTGAAAAATGGTATGAGTTCATTTTTTCATTGTTCTTTCCTTTTATCTCAAAGTTTAAAATGCAGTGTGAATCTAAATGATTAAATCACAAGTGTGGCTCTGCTTTAGGAGTAGATATTCTTTTATTCCTTTATTTTCCTAATAAACTTGCCTTCACTTAATAAAAAAAAACACACACACACAAGCAAGTAGAAATAGCCTATAGTATTCTGTTCAATTGTAATAAAATAATGCAATAATATTTTCTTGTATATTAACTTTGCAGAATCTGTTGCTTCTGAGGAAATCATTGAACTGACTACCTATGTGTTATCTTTTATTGTACAAGTCAGCTTATCATTAAAGCTGCTACTGAATTCTATTTGAACTTCTACATTGAAAACTATGTTCTAACTGAAACTATCATGGAATGAAAAGTTGCTAGGATACCATTTTTCATTTTTAATATTTCTTGAACAGAGGCTTCATGTCTTGTGGAAGGGGAAATGCTTTTTGGAACAAACTTTAATCTGTATTAAATCTGACAATCTAATCTCTATTTCTGAGCTAACAGGAAAAAAATACCAATGCGTTTTTTAAAGTCGTTTCCTGGGAGTGCTGAATGAAAAAACATGTCTAATGAAACTAATAGATAAGACACTACTACAGGCAGGACTAAGTGCCTGTACATGGAGGTGCTAATGCATTCCTGCCTAAACATACGATGCATTGGAAAGTTTGCTACCTTTCACAAATGACATCTAAAGAGATGGAGCAAGGTTACACTGTTGGTCAATTGTCATAAAAAAAAGAGGTACTAGTGACTCAAATGTCTAAACATTTGAATAAAAAATTTATATGTCTTGTAAAAACAAGCATCTATTAATATAATAATATTCACACAAATAACTAGTAACTATCAATGTCAATACCTTTCAATTTATAGGGTATACTCTTTTAATTAAAAATTATTAATGTATTCACAAATATTTGATTTTCTATATATGACAATTGTTTAAGATATCAGACCACAAAAAACAAGAACTGTTTTCTATTAGGGCTTACATTCTAGCTAGGGTTATTGGAGTAAAGATATGGAGAAGGGTCATTTGATTTCACTTAAAATTCAAAAATATTATCTTTTGTTTTACTTTCATAAAGGGTTATTTTTTGAGAAATTATGTGAACTGTATTTTTCCTGAATGCCTAAGGGTTTTTTTTTGTTTTTGATACAGTGTCGTGCTCTGTCACTAGGACTGGAGTGCAGTGGTGCCATCTTAGCTCACCACAATCTCTGCCTCCCGGGTTCAAGCAATTCTCCTTCCACGTCACGGAAAGGGGCTCTCCCAATTTTAGGTGGTAACTGCATTTTAAAAAAATTATTATTCTAGGCCAGGCATGGTGGCTCATGTCTGTAATCCCAGCACTTTGAGAGGCCGAGGCGGGAGGATCACAAGGTCAGGAGATCGAGAACATCCTGGCTAACATGGTGAAGCCCTGTCTCTACTAAAATACAAAAAAAAAAACTAGCTTGGCGTGGTGGTGGGTGCTTGTATTCCCAGCTGCTAGGGAGGCTGAGGCAGGAGAATGGCATGAACTCGGGAGGTGGAGCTTGCAGTGAGCTGAGATCGCACCACTGCACTCCAGCCTGGGCGACAGAGTGAGACTCCGTCTCGGAAAAAAAAATAAAAATAAAAAAATAATTGTTCTTATGGAGAATCTCATATTTAACCTCCACAAAACATAGCTTTGCCCCTAGGCTCATTTAGCTTACTATGAAAAATGAACTTGATATATTGCTAGAAATATTTATACACAAATAATCAAAAGGGGGTAGAAAATGCAAAAAGCAAAGCAAAATGAAGCAAAGCAAAACCACCTCAAATCTGCAGAGAATTCTAGAACAAGCTTTGCCACTAATGAGCTGTATGAACTTCAACAAACTAATTAATCTTTCTAGTTCTCAGTTTTCTCATTTGTAAAATTAAGATTCTGAAGTAAATATTCTCTTAGGTACCCTCTAGGTTTTAATATCTATCATTCTAAATTATATTTTTGTTTGATTGCTTTAGCATTCCATTACCACATGCACATAGAGTTGGCAACTATTAGGGCTGAGAAATTTTCTATTAAATGTAAGTTTAGCATGCACTTTAAGTTGACACATGGAATATTTACATGCCCATGCAGGTTAAAGGCATTTGTTAAAAAAAGAAAAATATAAAATAATTAATTTCCCCAGAAAAACTTACAAAAACAAAAGCATGCAATAAATTAGCATTCAAAATCAGAATAACAGAAATTGAGGTGGTAACTTCTGTAGTTAAATTAATATTTTTTTCTCTTCTCTTAACAGCTCTTTCTGTGTGATTTACCTGAATGACTAGATTGTCCTCATGTTTTCTAAAATCAAATCTCAAAGCTTTTTAATTCAATAATAAAAGGTTATCAGGTTAGTTTGTACCTTTTGATATAGTTTGGCTATGTCCCCACCCAAATCTCATCTTGAATTGTAGCTCCCATAATCCCCACGTGTCATGGGTGGGAGGGACAGGGTGGGTGATAAATTGAATCATGGGGTGGGTATTTCCCATGCTGTTCTCATGATAGTAAGTCACACGAGATCTGACGGTATTATAAAGGGCAGTTTCCCTGCACATGCTCTCTTGTCTGCCATCATGTAAGACGTGCCTTTGCTCCTCCTTCACCTTCCACCATGACTCTGAACCTCCCCAGCCATGTGGAACTGTAAGTCTATTAAACCTCTTTTTCTTTTTAAATTATCCATTCTCAGGTATTTCTTCATAGCAATAAGAAAATAGACTAATACAGCTCTATTATTTGAAATTTGGGCTAACTTTAAGTATATAGGGCCAGACATAGACAAGAAATTATCCCAAATTAATATTTGATTATTAAATTAAAATTTTAATTGAATTATTATCTTAAAGTGGGATTATAGAGGTCATATTAGATATTATCCTTATATCTCTTGTACTGCAAAAGGATATTTTTCATATTTTAAAATACTTTCATGAGATAATCCAATATCATTTAAATTAATTTATTTTCCAACAAAATTTGTGGTTTGCTACCCAAATATGCTATCTTCCCTTTCACATTTGTGTTTTTACACATTTCACTTTTTTGGCTGAAATGTAATTTTTCCTTTTATATTTGCCTAACTATTCTTCACAGTTCAGCTTATGCATCACTTCTTTTTGGAAATCATTCCTAATTAATTATCTATTTTGACTTGAAACAATATGATCAGAGCACCCTTACTCATTGTATGTATAACTAACTCTTTATTTAAATTGTCCATTAACTAATCTGGACTTCCTACTCATGTGTAAAGTCCTTGAATACAATACCTTACTTATCATTTTATTCTGAGTATTATAGTGTGCATTTTACTGGTAGTTGAATGCAGGAATAACTTAACAAGTAAACATTCTTAGACAAATGTTCCTCATTTTTAACTTGACTACTTCTACTAGCCTAAATTTCTTTAGTGTAATATTTATAATTCATATTATTAAAAATTAAGATAATTATAAAAATGTATAAAATAGAGATGGATATATCTGATTAAAAATAGGCACTAAAGAAGATAGTAAAACAGTTAATTAAAGAGATTTAAAATGCAGCCAAGGATGAGGTTGCTATAAAATTTGCAGATATTTGTTATTATCAGACTGAAAATTTAATCTAGACTTTTAAACCACAGAGGAAAACCTAGGTTAGTTATATAATCTACGATGTCCTTGGGCTAAAAACTGGCCAATTACTCAGGAAGATAAAATTAATACTGTGACTCAGATCAAATGATATATGTCTCAAGGTTTCTTATAAAAAGAAAACTGTTAGTATTCCAAACCAGTTTCTAGTTTAAAGGGCCAGTTTTCTAAAAGGTATGCTATAGGCTTTCAGCATCTTATGAAAGCACAATATAGAAAAAGAAATCATTTCTATTCAGTCCACAAATTCTTAACATCATTGCCGAATATAGTATCTTATATTCCTTAATAGAAAATTATCAAGACAGATAAGACATAGTTCTTGATTGTACAAGAGATATCTATGGATTTCAGAGAAATCATGTTGAAGATTACTCATACATTTTGTGGTATAAAATTTTGCCTCTGGAAATGAGTAACAGGTTAGGTAAAAGCTTGATTAGTGAATAAGAAACAAGGCACAAAATCTCTATAACTGAATAATTTTATTTGTAAGAGAATGTTTGCAACAAGTGTATAAAACTAGTGTTTATATCTACTGTATATAATATTGAAGGCAGGTATTCCCTCTCTTTTTTTTTTTTTTTTTTTTTTTTGAGATGGAGTCTTGCTCTGTCACCGAGGCTGGAGTACAGTGGTGCAATCTTGGCTTATCACAACTTCCACCTTCCGGGTTCAAGCAATTCTCCTGCCTCAGCCTCCCGAGTAGTTGGGACTACAGGCACACGCCACCATACCCAGATTATTTTTTGTATTTTTAGTAGAGATAGGGTTTCACCCTGTTAGTCAGGATGGTCTCCATCTCCTGACCTCATGATCAGCCCACCTCAGCCTCCCAAAGTGCTGGGATTACAGGTCTAAGCCACCATGCCCGGTCAGTTATTCTTTCTTATTCTTCTTTTCCGCAACACCTGATGTGATTCCTAGCATTAAAAAATCTTCAATAAATGTTTATTTGAACAAGTACATAATGCATTGAAAAGACACCAGGGAATACCTAACTTACGAATTCAAAAGGCCACAGAAGACCAAGTATATAATGAGGGTTTTCCTAAGTTTTACAATTTATAAATCAGAGTATATAAGATTGCATTCTGTTAAAAAAGGTCTTCCTTCCTTCCTTCCCTCCTCTTTTTTCCTTTCCTTCCTCCCCTCCCCTCTCCTCCCCTGTCCTCCCCTCTTCCCTCCTTTCCTTCCCTTTTTCCTTCTTTCCTTTCTCCTTCTTTCCTTTCCTTTTACTGTTGTTTTCCTTTTACTGTTGCTTTCCTTTTCCCTTCTTTCCTGTCCTTTTTCCTTTTCTTTCCCTCTTTTTTTCTTATTTCTCTTTTTCTGGGATTACTAATGGTGTCTATATTTCTAACAGAAACTGATAAAATGAGAGAAAATGAACAATAATTCCAAAATATTATTTGAAATTGTAAACACATATGTCTATATCTTTATCAAATCTGCCTTAGTAGTAAGAAATGTAACATTATTATGATTTTCTGTGCAGTCAATATTTATGCTGGAAGTGAAGATGGTAAAGTTATCTGCTCCAAAAACTTGTTTTATTTCCTATGCAAAATTTATTTTTTATTTATTTTATTTTATTTTATTTTATATTTTTTGAGACGGAGTCTTGCTGTTGCCCAGGCTGGAGTGCAATGGTGCGATCTCGGCTCACTGCAACCTCCACCTGCCAGGTTCAAGTGATTCTCCGGCCACAGCCTCCGAAGTATTACTGGCACCCACCACCACACCCAACTAATTTTCGTATTTTTAGTAGAGACAGGGTTTCACCATGTTGGCCAGGCTTGTCTCTATCTATCTCCTGATCTCGGGTGATCTACCCACCTTGGCCTTCCAAAGTGCTGGGATGACAGGCATGAGCCACCGTGCCCAGCCATTTTTTCTATTTTATCAATCAGATATCCATAAGTATAGAAAACTGTGTGTCAGTGTGTATATTTGTGTATGTGATTTGAGTATGTGGATACAAGCATGCATTATTGAGAGACTTAACTTTTTATTTGCATCTCCAACTTACCTCCTTTTTGTTGTTTTCACTGTGGCATTATTTTTAAAATGTTTGATACCTTGTATTGAGTGGATATATTTAAATTTTGTTTCCTTGTGAAAACTTACAAAACTTTGAAGAGAGAATCCTTTTAAAGAAACATATTGTCTTGGTTTAGTAAGAAATGTGATTTCTTAAGTAAAAGAGACATGAAGAGGGCACACACATATGATATATTTAGAGAAATAGTGTCTGCACTAAAACAAGTACTCCTTTCAAGACAATGAAAGCTGACAGCCTAAAATTTGATTTTCTAGTCTAACGAGTTATATTACAAATATATACAAGGATTGTATTATGCTGATTTTTTTTCAGTCTGTCTATTCATTACTCATTGTTATATATATGGTTTTTAAAAGCCAAGGAAAAGACTGATGATAAATTTCACTCTGAATTCTCTTTCTTCATATATATATATATATGTATATATATATATGTATATATATATATATACATATATATATACATATATATATATACACACACATTTATATATAACATATATATTTAAGAAATATTACTTCAAGTACTTCATATTGTCTTGAAAATACTATTTCATATTTTAACATCACATTTCCCCCATGTGGTTTATGAAACCTCATTGATTCTGTTTCCCTGACACATGAGCATTTCTGGATACAAAGCGGCAGATTTCTCCACTCCACCTTTGTTGCACCCCCTGATCTAACTGAAGCATCCCCAGATTATTTTAGTAAGTAAGTAAGTTTCTTCCAGCATAATATATCAGACCAGAAGTAGAATCAGACTTCTTCTAAGCAATGAGGATGAAGGCAATTTTGTGATACATTAGGACTGCCCAAATCTTGCAGGGGGAGACAGTCTGTGTTTGCTTTTTGACAGAGACCATATACTGACTATGTCTCCCATAATGTCAAGAACTCTGTGAATGTACAACAGTTTTTCCTCTACCTTTCCTGAAAAGGAAAGGAGGTCTTTGAATCCTAACACTAGAATATGCTTCTTGAGAGACTCCTTTTTTTCTTTCTTTTTTTTTTTTTTTTTTTTGTCAAATATCAAGTTCATGAGAAGGAATTTTGAGGTTCATGTTCTTGCTAAGATTGGCAGAACCCACAATGCATGAAAATGTCTTTTTGTTTCTTCATACTTGAGAAATAGCTTGACTAGGAAGTAAGTAAGTTGAAAACCTTTGCCTGTCGGAAGTTTGAAGCATGCTTTCATTATTTTCTAGCACCTAGGATTGATACTCAAAAGCCTCATATCCATCTGATTCTCATTCCTTTTAGTTGACAGGAATTTCATTGCTGTTTCATTGCTGCTCATTCATGCTTGTTGTTCTCATTAGCTTAGGTTTTGTTTTCTTTTCCCTCAGTATGGGAGATATTGTAATCATCTTTTTACCCATGATATTCTGAAATAGGATACAAAATTTGAAACACATAAAATCCGTTTTTTTGTCACTCATTGTTTTTCTGATTGATTGCTTTCTAGGAGAATCATTTTAGAAGCTCTGTGTTGTACTTTAGATTAATTTTCTCAAATTATTTTTCTTTCTGACTTTCACTTTACTTCTCTACTATAATGGCTATAAATGGGATATTAACTTTCTAATTATTGCTTTTTATCTCATCATCTATTTTCCCATAATTTAATAGTCATTTTATTGCTTTTAAAGAGATGACATCAATTGTAGATTTTTCTAAAACTTTTATTCAATACTCAATTGCAGCAAACATTTTAAATTTGAAGAGACATTTCTTACAATTTTCTTTTCTCTCTTTTGATAACTTCTTGTTTTTAAGGGTGAATATCTTATGGCATCTACTTGGAGATGCCAAATAAATTTGTGTTCTTTTTCTGTTTTAAGCTCTCTCTTGGAAGATGAATTATGTCTGGTTTTAAAGAAAATATAGTATTGGCTGGGGAGTCAAGATGGCCGAACAGGAACAGCTCCGGTCTACAGCTCCCAGCGTGAGCGACGCAGAAGATGGGTGCTTTCTGCATTTCCATCTGAGGTACCGGGTTCATCTCACTAGGGAGTGCCAGACAGTGGGCGCAGGTCAGTGGGTGCAGCGCACCGTGTGCTAGCCGAAGCAGGGCAAGGCATTGCCTCACTCGGGAAGCGCAAGGGGTCAGGGAGTTCCCTTTCCTAGTCAAAGAAAGGGGTGACAGACGGCACCTGGAAAATCGGGTCACTCCCACCCTAATACTGTGCTTTTCCAACGGGCTTAAAAAATGGCACACCAGGAGATTATATCCTGCACCTGGCTTGGAGGGTCCTACGCCCACAGAGTCTCACTGATTGCTAGCATAGGAGTCTGAGATCAAACTGCAAGGCAGCAGCAAGGCTAGGGGAGGGGTGCCTGCCATTGCCCAAGTTTGATTAGTAAACAAAGCAGCCAGGAAGCTCAAACTGGGTGGAGCCCACCACAGCTCAAGGAGGCCTGCCTGCCTCTGTAGGCTCCACCTCTGGGGGCAGGGCACAGACAAACAAAAAGACAGCAGTAACCTCTACAGACTTAAATGTCCCTGTCTGACAGCTTTGAAGAGAGTAGTGGTTCTCCCAGCACGCAGCTGGTGATCTGAGAATGAGCAGACTGCCTCCTCAAGTGGGTCCCTGACCCCCGAGCAGCCTAACTGGGAGGCACCCCCAAGTAGGGGCAGACTGACACCTCACATGGCCGGGTACTCCTCTGAGACAAAACTTCCAGAGGAACGATCAGGCAGCAGCATTTGCGGTTCACCAAGATCTGCTGTTCTACAGCCACTGCTGTTTTCCAGCCACCGCTGCTGATACCCAGGCAAACGGTCTGGAGTGGACCTCTAGCAAATTCCAACAGACCTGCAGCTGAGAGTCCTGTCTGTTAGAAGGAAAACTAACAAACAGAAAGGACATCCACAACAAAAACCCTTCTGTACATCACCATTATCAAAGATCAAAAGTAGATAAAATGACAAAGATGGGGAAAAAACAGAGCAGAAAACCTGGAAACTCTAAAAGCAGAGCACCTCTCCTCCTCCAAAGGAATGCAGCTCCTCACCAGCAATAGAACAAAGCTGGATGGAGAATGACTTTGATGAGTTGAGAGAAGAAGTCTCCAGACGATCAAACTACTCTGAGCTACAGGAGGAAATTCAAACCAATGGCAAAGCAGTTAAATACTGTGAACAAAAAATTAGACAAATGGATAACTAGAATAACCAAAGCAGAGAAGTCCTTAAAGGAGCTGATGGAGCTGAAAGCCAAGGCTTGAGAACTACGTGAAGAATGCAGAAGCCTCAGGAGCCGATGCGATCAACTGGAAGAAAGGGTATCAGTGATGGAAGATGAAATGAATAAAATGAAGCCAGAAGGGAAGTTTAGAGAAAAAAGAATAAAAAGAAACGAACAAAGCCTCCAAGAAATATGGGACTATGTGAAAAGACCAAATCTACGTCTGATTGATTGGTGTACCTGAAAGTGACGGGGACAATGGAACCAAGTTGGAAAACACTCTGCGGGATATTATCCAGGAGAACTTCCCCAATCTAGCAAGGCAGGCCAACATTCAGATTCAGGAAATACAGAGAATGCCACAAAGATACTCCTCGAGAAGAGCAACTCCAAGACACATAATTGTCAGATTCACCAAAGTTGAAATGAAGGAAAAAATGTTAAGGGCAGCCAGAGAGAAAGGAAGGTCGGGTTACCCACAAAGGGAAGCCCATCAGACTAACAGCTGATCTCTCAGCAGAAACTCTACAAGCCAGAAGAGACTGGGGGCCAAAATTCAACATTCTTAAAGAAAAGAATTTTCAACCCAGAATTTCATATCCAGCCAAACTAAGCCTCATAAGTGAAGGAGAAATAAAATACTTTACAGACAAGCAAATGCTGAGAGATTTTGTCACCACCAGGCTTGCCCTACAAGAGCTCCTGAAGGAAGCACTAAACATGGAAAGGAAAAACCGGTACCAGCCACTGCAAAAACATGCCAAAATGTAAAGACCATCAAGGCTAGGAAGAAACTGCATCAACTAATGAGCAAAATAACCAGCTAACATCATAATGACAGGACCAAACTCACACATAACAATGTTAACTTTAAATGTAAATGGACTAAATGCTCCAATTAAAAGACACAGACTAGCAAATTGGATAAAGAGTCAAGACCTATCAGTGTGCTGTATTCAGGAAACCCATCTCATGTGCAGAGACACACATAGGCTCAAAATAAAGGGATGGAGAAAGATCTACCAAGCAAATGGAAAACAAAAAAAGGCAGGGGTTGCAATCCTAGTCTCTGATAAAACAGACTTTAAACCAACAAAGATCAAAAGAGACAAAGAAGGCCATTACATAATGATAAAGGGATCAATTCAACAAGAAGAGCTAACTATCCTAAATATATATGCACCCAATACAGGAGCACCCAGATTCATAAAGCAAGTCCTTAGTGACCTACAAAGAGACTTAGACTCCCACACAATAATAATGGGAGACTTTAACACCCCACTGTCAATATTAGACAGATCAACGAGACAGAAAGTTAACAAGGATACCCAGGAATTGAACTCAGCTCTGCACCAAGCGGACCTAATAGACATCTACAGAACTCTCCACCCCAAATCAACAGAATATACATTTTTTTTTTTTTTTTTTTTTTTTTGAGACAGAGTCTCGCTCTGTCGCCCAGGCTGGAGTGCAGTGGTGGGATCTCAGCTCACTGCAAGCTCCGCCTCCCGGGTTCACGCCATTCTCCTGCCTCAGCCTCCCAAGTAGCTGGGACTACAGGCGCCCGCCACTACGCCCGGCTAATTTTTTTTTGTATTTTTAGTAGAGACGGGGTTTCACCATTTTAGCCGGGATGGTCTCGATCTCCTGACCTCGTGATCCGCCCGCCTTGGCCTCCCAAAGTGCTGGGATTACAGGCGTGAGCCACCGCGCCCGGCCCAGAATATACATTTTTTTCAGCACCACACCACACCTATTCCAAAATAGACCACATAGTTGGAAGTAAAGCACTCCTCATCAAATGTAAAAGAATAGAAATTATAACGAACTGTCTCTCACACCACAGTGCAATCAAACTAGAACTCAGGATTAAGAAACTCACTCAAAACCACTCAACTACATGGAAACTGAACAACCTGCTCCTCAATGACTACTGGGTACATAACGAAATGAAGGCAGAAATAAAGATGTTCTTTGAAACCTATGAGAACAAAGACACAACACACCAGAATCTCTGGGACACATTCAAAGCAGTGTGTGGGTAGAGGGAAATTTATAGCACTAAATGCCCACAAGAGAAAGCAGGAAAGATCCAAAATTGACACCCTAAGATCACAATTAAAAACTAGAAAAGCAAGAGCAAACGCATTCAAAAGCTAACAGAAGGCAAGAAATGACTAAAATCAGAGCAGAACTGAAGGAAATAGAGACACAAAAAACCCTTCAAAAAATTAATGAATCCAGGAGCTGCTTTTTGAAAAGATCAACAAAATCGATAGACTGCTAGCAAGACTAATAAAGAAGAAAAGAGAGAAGAATCAAATAGATGCAATAAAAAATGATAAAGGGGATATCGCCACCGATCCCACAGAAATACAAACTACCATCAGAGAATACTACAAACACATCTACGCAAATGAACTAGAAAATCTAGAAGAAATGGATAAATTCCTCGACACATACACCCTCCCAAGACTAAACCAGGAAGAAGTTGACTCTCTGAATAGACCAATAACAGGCTCTGAAATTGTGGCAATAATCAACAGCTTACCCCCCAAAAAGAGTCCAGGACCAGATGGATTCACAGCCGAATTCTACCAGAGGTACAAGGAGGAGCTGGTACCATTCCTTCTGAAACTATTCCAATCAATAGAAAAAGAGGGAATCCTCCCTAACTCATTGTATGAGGCCAGCATCATCCTGATACCAAAGCCTGGCACAGACACAATCAAAAAAGAGAATTTTAGACCAATATCCTTGATGAACATTGATGCAAAAATCCTCAATAAAATACTGGCAAACCAAATCCAGCAGCACATCAAAAGCTTATCCACCATGATCAAGTGGGCTTCATCCCTGGGATGCAAGGCTGGTTCAATATACGTGAATCAATAAATGTAATCCAGCATATAAACGGAACCAAAGACAAAAACCCCATGATTATCTCAATGGATGCAGAAAAGGCCTTTGACAAAATTCAACAACCCTTCATGCTAAAAACTCTCAATAAATTAGGTATTGATGGGACATATCTCAAAATAATAAGGGCTATCTATGACAAACCCACAGCCAATATCGTACTGAATGGGCAAAAATTGGAAGCATTCCGTTTGAAAACTGGCACAAGACAGGGATGCCCTCTCTCACCACTCCTATTCAACATACTGTTGGAAGTTCTGGCCAGGTCAATTAGGCAGGAGAGGAAAATAAAGGGTATTCAATTAGGAAAAGAGTAAGTCAAATTGTCCCTGTTTGCAGATGACATGATTGTATATCTAGAAAACCTCACTGTCTCAGCCCAAAATCTCCTTAAGCTGATAAGCAACTTCAGCAAAGTCTCAGGATACAAAATCAATGTACAAAAATCACAAGCATTCTTATACACCAATAACAGACAAACAGAGCCGAATCATGAGGGAACTCCCATTCACAATTGCTTCAAAGAGAATAAAATACCTAGGAATCCAACTTACAAGGGATGTGAAGGACCTCTTCAAGGAGAATTACAAAACAAACACTGCTCAATGAAATAAAAGAGGATACAAACAAATGGAAGAACATTCCATGCTCATGGGTAGGAAGAATCAATATCGTGAAAATGGCCATACTGCCCAAGGTAATTTATAGATTCAATGCCATCCCCATCAAGCTACCAGTGACTTTCTTCACAGAATTGGAAAAAACTACTTTAAAGTTCATATGGAACCAAAAAAGAGCCCTCATTGCCAAGTCAATCCTAAGCCAAAAGAACAAAGCTGGAGGCATCATGCTACCTGACTTCAAACTATACTACAAGGCTACAGTAACCAAAAGAGCATGGTACTGGTACCAAAACAGAAATATAGATCCATGGAACAGAACAGAGCCCTCAGAAATAATGCCGCATGTCTACAACCATCTGATCTTCAATAAACCTGACAAAAACAAGCAATGGGGAAAGGATTCCCTATTTAATAAAAGGTGCTGGGGAAACTGGCTAGCCATATGTAGAAAGCTGAAACTGGATCCCTTCCTTACACTTTATACAAAAATTAATTCAAGGTGGATTAAAGATTTACATGTTAGACCTAAAACCATAAAAACCCTAGAAGGAAACCTAGGCAGTACCATTCAGGACATAGGCATGGGCAAGGACTTCATGTCTAAAACACCAAAAGCAATGGCAACTAAAGCCAGAATTGACAAATGGGATCTAATTAAACTAAAGAGCTTCTGCACAGCAAAAGAAACTACCATCAGAGTGAAAAGGCAACCTACAAAATGGGAGAAAATTTTCACAACCTACTCATCTGACAAAGGGCTAATATCCAGAATCTACAATGAACTCAAATTTACAAGAAAAAAACAAACAACCCCATCAAAAAGTGGGCAAATGATATGAACAGACATTTCTGAAAAGAAGACATTTATGCAGCCAAAAAACACATGAAAAAATGCTCATCATCACTGGCCATCAGAGAAATGCAAATCAAAACCACAATGAGATACCATCTCACACCAGTTAGTTAGAATGGCAATCATTAAAAAGTCAGGAAACAACAGGTGCTGGAGAGGATGTGGAGAAATAGGAACACTTTTACACTGTTGGTGGGACTGTAAACTAGTTCAACCATTGTGGAAGACAGTGTGGCGATTCCTCAGGGATCTAGAACTAGAAATACCATTTGACCCAGCCATCCCATTACTGGGTATATACCCAAAGGATTATAAATCATGCTGCTATAAAGATACATGCACACATATGTTTATTGTGGCACTATTCACAATAGCAAAGACTTGGAACCAACCCAAATGTTCATCAATGATAGACTGGATTAAGAAAATATGGCACATATACACCATGGAATACTATGCAGCCATAAAAAATAAAGAGTTCACGTCCTTTGTAGGGACATGGATGAAACTGGAAACCATCATTCTCAGCAAACTATCACAAGGACAAAAAACCAAACACCACATGTTCTCACTCATAGGTGGGAATTGAACAATGAGAACACATGGACACAGGAAGGGGAACATCACACTTCGGGGACTGTTGTGGGGTCAGGGGAGGTGGGAGGGATAGCATTAGGAGATATGCCTAATGCTAAATGATGAGTTAATGGGTACAGCACACCAACATGGCACATGTATGCATATGTAACAAACCTGCACATTGTGTACATGTACCCTAAAACTTAAAGTATAATAATAATAATAGAAAATATAGTATTTATGTATATCTTAACTCATAGCCTAGGAATCTTGATAGACAGTGTATAAATAATATTAAGCAATAAATACTTGGAGCTCCAGGTACACAGAAGTGATGAATAAAATGAAGATTTTAGAAAGACTTGATCAGAGATCAGCCTATAAGATAGGTAATCTTTAAATTGCAGAATACAGGGGACCTTTTTCTGATTTATTAGTTATAAACTCTATTATTCTAATGATATTACAATGGCTATTACAAAAATGACAGTCATAGTTCTAACACTGTTTTCCTCTTTTCCCCTCTCAGGAGAATTCAGGAGAAAAAGATAAACACTGGACTCCACAGGACTCTATCTATCTATCTATCTATCTATCTATCTATCTATCTATCTATCTACTTATTTACCTACATATCCATCTGTCTATACCTATGCCTATATTAAAATCTGTATCTATCCTCTAAATTTAAAATACTTTAATTAAATCATTGCATGAATTTAATTTATTCCACAGGAATCTTTAGGATCGATCTATGCTATCAATTTCACTCAGACATTGAATTTCAGAATTTTTTTAAAATTACTTTTTTAAATTATTTTACATGTCTGTCTGTCTTTTATTTTGTATGGGTAACTTGACAAAATAAGTCTTATTTAATAAATTAAAAATATAAAAAATCAAAATATTATTACATTATTATTTACTTTTTTTTTGGCAACAGCATATATGTTAGAAAAAATATGACTATTGAGTCGAGGAATCTGAGATTAAATCCAAAGTTTTCCTTGTAACGTGATGTGAAATAGGGAAATTTAGTTGACTACTTTTTTCATCACTTTTTGTACAATTAAAATGACATAAACAGTATAAATGACATAAACAGTATTTGTGTTATAGGGTAGTTGTGAGAATTTAATCAGTTAACCAATAGTAGAATGAACAAATGACCATTTTTTTTCCTCTACTGTCCTACTATCTGATCATTCTTACTTTGGAAACATATATAGACATCAGTGTTCTTGGAAAGCAAGGCTTGTATTTCACTATTGATGACAATAAGTTGAGCTACTTCTCCTTCCTCACCTTGAAAACGTAAGGCCAATAGTGTGCTTCCAACAAGAGACTTTAAATCTGGAGTGACCAAAGCAAAGAAGGAAAGAAAGATTTTGTTTTGTATTTGTTTTGCATTGTCAAAGGTTGAAGCAACATTAAGTAAGTTTGGAGGAGAATGTAACTTAGAGCTACCTAATACGTCTAGAGTAGGTAGAGGCAGAGACGCCAGCTGAAGCATCCAGCGTCTTTCCATAGAAACATCTTTGTCCTCACCAGGCGTTCACCGAGATGTAATTGTGGTCTCTATTTAACTATCAAGCTTCTCTTGGTGTTAGCCACTTCTGACACATTTGGTCAATTTTCTAAGCTAACCATTATGTTTCCAAAAGATTCCTCTTATTTATGGATCACTTAGTTTATCCTTGTTGTACCCATATAAAAGCAACCTCTTATAGTGACATTGTCAGGAATTGCATGAATAACAACCTTCAAATATCTACTAATAATAAGAACACTGGCAAAAAAATATTAAACTCTGGAAACTAAAAATAAGGCTGGGAACAATATAGGAAGCATGTATTCAAGAAAAACAATGAAATCTACAGAACAGTGAGGTTTAAATATGCTTATTTTTATCTCCTTCTCTGTAATGTTGTGGTTGCCACCAATCCACTACAAAATATTCCACAAAACTGAATATGAGAAAACATTTCCCAATTCATCCATGGTGCCAATATTACCTTGATACCTAAACCAGACAGAGACATGATAACTAACTCTAGACCAGTATCTCTTGTGACTATAGATGTGAAATCTTCCACAAAATACTAACAAACAAATAAAGAAATACAGCAAAATATAAAAAGAGTTCTACACTGTGACTAAGTGTAATGTATTTGAAAAAGACAATGTGTATTAACATCTGAAAATTTTAATTTAATATACTCTACTAATTAATTGAAAAAAGACAAAAATCACATGCATATTTCAATAGATACAGGAAAATCCAATACCCTTTTCATGATAAAAACATTCATTGAACTAGGGGCCAGGCAAGGTGGCTCACGCTTGTAATCCCAGCACTTTGGGAGGCCGAGGCAGGTGGATCACCTGAGGTCAGGAGTTCAAGACCAGCCTGGTCAACATGGGGAAATCCCATTTCTAAAAGCAAAAACAACAACAAATAAAACATTCATTGAACTAGGAATATAAGGGACCTTTCTCAGCCTGATAAAAACATCTATTTTTAAAAAAGGAGAAACATATTTAATAGTGAAAGTCACTTGTATAGTGAATGCTGGAGGGTCAAGCCATTGCTGTGGGGGAAACACACACACACACACATAAAAAAGAAAAAATAATAATAAATACAAAGAAATATATTAATCTATTAAATATGTTCAGCCAGATTTCAGGATACAAGTTAAATATACAAATACAAACTGTATTTCTATACGCTAGCAATAAAAAATCTGAAAATGAGATGAAGAAAACAATCACATTGATAATAATATCAAAAATAAATTATTTAGGAATAAATTTAGCAAAATAGGTACAAGACTAGGGACCTAACTCAACAGAATGACATCTCATATACAAGATTGGAAGATTTATTTTTTTTTACGTGGCAATACTCACAAATTGATCTGGAGATTCAATGCAATCAATATTTAAATCCCAGGTACCCTTTTGTAGAAATTGATAAACTGATCTTTTTTAAAAAAATATGGAAATACAAGGGACCCAGAATATCCAAAAATTCTTAAAATAAAAACCAAAGACAGTGTGATCACACTACATGATTTTAAAAACTACTACAAAGCTTCAGTAAACAAGAAAATGTGGGAATGGCATAAAGATATACACATAGACTAATGTAATAGAATTGAAAAATACAAAAATAAACCCTCACAGTTATGGCCAATTGATTTTTGACAAGGGTGCCAAGAATTCAGTGGGAAAGAAAGGTCTTTTCAACAAAAGAAGCAAGGACAGCATGCAAAAGAATGAAGTAGAACTGCTATCTCATGACAAATACAAAAATAACTCAAAGCACGGATCATATTTCTTAATTTAAGACCTTAAATGTTTGAAATCTAAAACTTTAAAAAGACAACACAGGCATAAATCTTCATGAACATAGATTAGAAAATAATTTTTTGGATTTATCAATAAAACCACAAGCTAAATAAATAAATAAATAGAATTTCATGAAGTTAATAACTTCTGTGCTTCCAAAGGCACGATTAAGAAAATTGCAGAGCGTCAGGAGAAATAGCGAATGCATGCTGGGCTTAATACCTAGGCGATGGGTTGATAGGCACAGCAAATCACCATGGCACATGTTTACCTATGTAACAAACCTGCACATCCTACACATGTACTCCAGAACTTAAAACTAAAAAAAATTCATAGAATGGGAGAAAATATTTACAAATCTTAGTCTGATAGAGGCCTTCTAACCAGAGTATCAAAACGTAAAAGGAACACTTATAACTCAACAATAAAAAGAAAAATAACCCCAAGACAAGAATAGGAAAATATTTCCATAGAGCTTTCTCCAAAGAAGGTATACAAAAAAGATTCTCAAAAATAATTAGAAATGAGAAACTAGGAAATGCTTATAAACCCACAATGAGATACTACTTCAAATATACTGGGATTATTTAAATAAAATCACAATTTTAGGCAAAAATGTGAAGAAACTGATACCCTTATACGTTGCTGGTGTGAACAGAAAATGGTGCAGCCACTTTGGAAAACAGTTTTGCAGTTTCTCCAAAAGTGAAACCAAGAATTAACCACAGGACTCAATAATCCCACACCTACATATATACCAAAAACAATTGAAAACATATGTTCAAACAAAAGGCATATATAGTAGTTTAAGTCATAACAGCCAAACTATAGAAACAAATGTCCTTCTATTGATGACGTATTAACAAATGTGGTAAAGCTTAATAATGGAATATTGTTCATCCATAAACGGAATGAAATATCGATATACACTACCTGAAATTGACTTTAAAACATTGTGCTACATGAAAGAAGCCATACACAAAAGGCCAGAAATTGTATAATTATTTTTACATGAAATATTCAGAATGAGCAAATCCACAGAGATAAAAAGCAGATTAATTGCTGCTAAGGAAAGACTGGGTTATTAAGACTGACAATGTATTGGGTATAGGATTTCTTTTCAGGATGACAAAAATGTTTTGGAATTTGCTAGTGGTGATGTCTGCTCATCTCAATATATTCAAACACACTGATTTCTGTACTTTAAAATTTAATTAACTTTATGATATGTGAATTATATCTGAATTGAAACCAAACTAAAAGCAGAAACAACCCCTACCATATATTTAATATATAAGATGTTGCATAGCACATAAAAAATCCATAATAAATAATCACTGTTATGCTTTACCAATTTCTCCTAAAACACTTAACTGAAATAGTGCATTGTAGTAATGTCTTATTCAATTTTATATGACATAAAATATTATGAAAAAAGATAATATATAGAATTATATGCTTAAAGACTTAAGTGATAAAATAAAAATTTGTAGCATACTGAGAAAAGTGTGGTCTTAATTTGTTTAATTCCCTGGGCAGATCTTTGCTCCCTTGATGTCACAGAATTTAAATGAATATAATTTTTATATGTAACTTTATCCAGCAGAATGATCATTTTTCGATAGCTGTGAAACATTTTAAACCACGCAGTTTTAGCAACTACAGAACTCATGTGACTTTCTCATAAAATCATGTAAGTTTTTTTTTTACATAAATCAAAGGGAAAAAAGCTAGATAAGTCAAAACACATTTTGAGGTTTCATTTTTTTCAATTTTTAAAATTTTACTTTAGACTCTAGCTTCTTTTCACTTGAATGTATAATATGTTATTATATATTCAATTTTATAAAACCTCTGCATACCACACATAGATACAAATTAATGGTGTGGCAAATAAAATGATACATTTTAGTTTCTGAACGAGTAGAAAACTAGCACAAACTGTTGGTTTCACACTTAAACCCAATCCTGCCGATTATACTGAAGAGAGAGTAATCATATATATTTGAGAGCCTGACATCATTTGTGACGTTCTGAGTGAGATAAAAATTTAGAGCACTGCCTTGAGAAAATATCTGGGAGGAAAACTTGATATGTTCTTTTTTTACTACCCCATATTGTTCCCTTAGGAAGAGTTACTGCATGTTTCCTATCCCTCAGTGATGATACATCAGTGTCAGTGCAGAACTTGCCAGAACTGGATTGTTAACATCACAATGCCATCAGAGCCCAGCTTGAATGAGGAATTTTGAATAGCAGAAGCAAACAGACTTGCTGGTCATGAATATTACCTTCTCATTTAAGCTACCAGCTCTAAGGTTAAGGCATCCACAGATAAGAAAGAAAATCTTAAGAGGATTTATGTGCAAATGGAAGTAAATAGATGCAACCCCTGAGGTCTACATACTAGAGATAACAGCAAATAGGTTGAGCGAAGTCAGCTTACAGGCTTAGGGCTTCATGCCCAGCTGTAATTCCCCCAGCTACTCCTGATTGTTTTGATAAGACACAAAAACGTATCATATGCCTTAGCCCTTCATACAATTACCCAAAGTATCTGATACTGGCCACATGAGTACTCAGATAAAAGAATTATGTATTTCAGAGGCTGCAACTACCATTAACCAGCATTAGAAGAGAAAGAGAAAGAAACAGAGCATCTTAAAGGTGGGAGAGAGGAATTAGAAAGAAGAGCAGGAAAGAAACAGTAGAAAAAAAAAGAGGAGAAAAAGGATGAACAACAGAGAAAGAGGAGAGAGAGATTAAAAAAAAAGAGCTGGGGGAAGGAGAGAGAAGGAAGATGAATCTACAATAAAAAAGAGTTAAAGAAGCAGATAGGAATTTGAAATAGGAACAGTACGTAGCCTAACAGAGATAAGGGAGAGTATGAAAACCACTAAGAAGAAGAAAGCAATTATAATGAATTACCAAGTAGGGATAGCAAGAATGTAAAAAACAAATTTAATTGACATTAAGATATCAATACATGAAATATATACCATGATGCACACAGATTAAGAACAATACAGAAGGCTGAATATTAAAGTTACCTCTCAGGAAAGGATAAAGACAAAAATATAAAATAAAACTTAATAATATGATAGATTAAGGAATATCAACATCTATGCAATGGAAGTCCCTGGAAGATGGAAGGAGGTAAATCAAAGGCTGAAACTTTACATTGGAAGAGCAGCAATCTTAGGCCGAGGATGTTTATTGTATTTGAGTACGATACATAATGCCGAATTTCCTATGATTCAACTGATCATAAAGGAATAAGACTGATTATAAAGGAAGCACTCTGCCTCATCGGAGAACACAGATATCTTGTGCCCCCATCAACCTGGCTTTAACTGACTGAACCTTTTATTGGCGTGTAAATCAAAGGCAGTCTTCTACAAGGGCATTGTCAGTCATCTTTCCTTCTCTCTCTCTTTCCTTTTCTCTCTCTTCCCCCATCAATCTGTGTATATTTAATTTCTTTAAATTTTACTTTGGATTGATGGTGGAGTAGACATGAATGCAAAATACAGTGCTGGGAACATGAACATTGAACAAGTATTAATTTTGCTTACCTGTGAATGTCTAAATCTGTGGATTTGCAATTAAACTCTGTTATCTGTCTAACATGTATGTTCTAAATATAGGAAAGGAAGCACTTAGTCAATTTGCTGGCATATTTCAGATCTTTAAAAGAAAGTAATTTGTACTTCTCCTTACAATCCTCATAAGACAAAGTGTAAATTCAAGAACTGTTAGTCTTTATTAAATTGTTCTTTATAATAGGTATATAGGACTTTACAATTTACAAAGTGATTTCATAGTCATTTTAATTATTATATTTTTGTCTACTTAAAAACCCTGAATTGGTGGCAAATCACAAAACCAAGGCTCAGTTTAAATGCTGGCCCCAAATCATGCAAATAGAAAGTGATAAATTCAAGATGCACATCGAGATCCGAATCCAGGTATAGTTCTCTCTAGTTCCTGGTTACCCCATAGCAGGGAACAGATAAACCCTGTCATAATGACTTATGGTGCCAGCGAATGTGTTGCTCTTTCTCTAAACGTTTATTGTCCTCTTCCCCACAGATTTTTCAAGGTGGAATCAATTAGGTTCAAAGACATAGATGTGCTTAATCAATAATGTGAGAGAAACTACCTTAAGTTTCACTCAACCCACATTAACTATTTTTCCCTCTGGGTTGCACTACTTCGGCCTTTCCATGTTACTTCATTTTTCCATATTCAACTGTACATATCGTATGATCTTTGAGGACAGCTTGAGGTCTACTTTGTGGATGGCTTGGAGTCTACTCTTTTAGAGAACTTTAATATGTATCTCAACGGTTTAAAATTAAGACTAGTAAACACAGGAAGATGTCAAGAAATTTAAATACAAAATATGCTTCAAATAAGCCCATAATTTACTTAAAGATAATGATAATTGATGACATTGTCATAGTTTGGATGTTTGTCCCCCCAAAACTCATGTTGAAATTTGATCTCCAGTGTCAGAGGTGGGGCCTACTGGGAGATGTTTGGATCATGGGAGCGGATCCCTCATGAATGGCTTGGTGCTGTCCTCATGGTAATGAGGTCTTGTTCTATTAGTTCCCTCAAGAGCTGGTTGTTAAAAAGAGCCTGACACCTGCTCCTGTCTCTCTTGCTTCCTGTGTAACCATGTGATCTCTGAATGCATGGCCTCCCTTTGCCTTCTGTCATGAGTGGAAACTTGGAAACTTTCACTAAAGGCCTAATATTCCAGCTAGAAGAATAGTGAGCCAAGAAATTTTTCTATGTTAATTACCCAGGTTCAGGTATTCCTTTATCGCAACACAAATTTACTAAGACAGACATCAATAATATATTTTATCATATAGTTACATTATCAATAACATGTTTCTAAAAGTAATATCAATAAAGTAAGATCTTACCTAGACCATGTCTGTGTGTTGACATTGGTGGTAAGACAGTCCATGTCTTGGTTTTGGGATTGTAACATTCAACAGTGTTCAATGTCTTTAAGCCATCTCGACCTCCAATTACAAAGAGTTTGTCATCAATAACAGCCACACCAAACTGCAGCCTTCTGCCATTCATCATCCCTGCCTGGATCCACAGATTTGTTCTCAGATCATATTTCTCTATAGTTGTAGCTCCTGATAAAACATAAAATCAAAAAGTCACCAATTGCTATAAATTCAACAAACAGCCTGCCAAAGCAGGGTACAAATTAGGATGTGAAAACACTCTTGTCATATTCATTTTTTTTAAAAGAAAAAGTGGCAGAAAAACAAAAGGAGTAGTAATTCAACTACTTTATTTTCTCTTCTTGGCAGACATGAATGATCAAAATAGACACAAATGTTCACCTTGTTCGAATTACATAATGGTCTCATGCTAAACTATTGATTCTATAGAAACATTGGTGAGCATGACCCAGTTCTGTCAGTGGATTTTACAAATTCCCTCTATCACTTTTGTCATTTAAAAATGTAGCATAATACCAGGTTGAAAAATATTTATGAAAGCCCTTTTAAATAATTAAGCTATGCATGTTATTTGGATAATTTCTGAAAGTTAATTCAATAAAATATTACCATGTTTTTCTTTAAATTTGTCATACGCCTTAAATAACTGAAGGTTTTAAAAGTCAATTGTAAGATATATAAGCAAATATTTGCTATGCTTTTTAAACCAGCTTTTAAAAAATAATCTGGGGAAGAGCTTAGGCCAGGCGCAATGGCTCACGCCTGTGATCCCAGCACTTTGGGAGGCCGAGACGGGCGGATCACAAGGTCAGGAGATCGAGACCATCCTGGCTAATTAACGGTGAAACCCCGTCTCTACTAAAAATACAAAAAAAAAAAAAAAAATTAGCTGGGCATGGTGGCAGGTGCCTGTAGTCCCAGCTACTCAGGAGGCTGAGGCAGGAGAATGGCATGAACCCGGGAGGCGGCGCTTGCAGTGAGCAGAGATCGCGCCACTGCACCCCAGCCTGGGTGACAGAGCGAGACTCCATCTAAAAAAAAAAAAAAAAAATCTGGGGAATAGCTTAATAGAATTTTATAAAATGATCTTCTATCCTGAACAATCATGTTAGAATCTCTAAATAATATAGCTTATATTTCTTAAAAGCTTTTTACATATAAGTTTGAGAAATGCAATAACTCTGACTAATAAAATAGAAATTGAAAGAAGCAGCTAAATTACTGGTGAGATTTGTTTTAATGGGTTTAATTACCCAATTCTCATTAAAAATGCCTGTGTAGAACAAGCTCCCAAATGTTTATAAGATAATATAAGCTAACAGACACTGATCTTGATGTAGTGTTTGACTTCATGTTCAGACTCACCTTCACCAATGTTATACCTTCAATCATGAAACATTTCTACAAAGCAAATTAACATTCTTGTGTACTTTCACTTAAGCACTGATGATCTATTTTACCTGTAATAAAAGTTTGCAAATCTAGGGAATATATTCCTCTGGGGACTCATTTACTCTTTAGAACCTAACTAGTAATGAACTAAATGAACATAAACACTTTCATAACAGAAGTTTTGCTAATTAAAGTAAAAACGATACAATTTATGCTCAATTTTTACTTAAAGGTAATAGCAATAATTAGATATGTCAAATCTGCTTTCTGATATTGCTAAAATTATAGGTTCATTCCAATATATAACTAATTTTGAACTATTAGGAAATTATTGTTATTGTTAGGATAAAAATAAATTGCAATGTTCACAAAAGTTATTCAATACTGTTTATTAACATGTATAATATTTTAAACAGATGTATTTTATATTTTAATATATTTATTATATTGGATATTGAATGTTTTATTCATTTGACTTCAAATCAAAATTCTAAAGCAAACTACATAGTTGAATAACTTCAAAGTCATCTGGATTCTCAAAGCTTGATAACTTTTATATTACATGAATGCATAACTAAAAATTAAGAGTTATACACAGATGGCCTGGTGTGTGGCTCACACCTGTAATCCCAGCACTTTGTGAGGCCAAGGAAGGTGAATCATCTGAGGTCAGGAGACTGAGACCAGCCTGGCCTCAAACTCTGTCGAAACCCCATCTCCACTAAAAATACAAAAAATAATAATAAAAATAAAATAGCCGGGCATGGTGGCTCATGCCTGTAGTCTCAGCTACTCAGGAGGCTAAGGCAAGAGAATCCCTTGAACGTGGGAGGCAGAGGTTGCAGTGAGCTGAGATCGTGCCACTGCACTCCAGCCTGGCAACAGAGTAAGACTCAGTTGCATAAAGAAAAAAAAAAAAAGGTTTACACAGATATCTGTCTCTTGTGACTATATTTGACCGATGATGGCAGAAGAAAGTAATCTAATCCTAATTAACACAATCTCATTAGGCTCATATTTTCTGGTATGAGTGGACAAGGAAGAAAGTACTTGAACAACTGTACTTCCCACAGACTCCAAAGCCTTGCTAAAAATCTTTGCAGGGAATTTGAGGTCCAGTTACCCTCCTCAGAGGAAATAGTTAGGAATGAGTGAAATTAAGACTTCCGAGCAAGCAAAGGAGTTGCAATTCAAAAAGGAAAAGTCAGGAATTGATTTGGATTTCAAAGCCTCATTCAAATGAGCTAGATAAGTCTTAAATCTCAATACATGACAGGATTTTTAACCTTTACAGTTTTTCCTGTAACTTCAGTCTTCAAAAGTGACCTACTCACTTATCCTAGTAGCTACAGCAGAAATAGGAGCTCATTTCCATCTTCATTTTTCAAATTAGAATTTATATTAATTTACTATGGCTACTGTTAAGAATATTTCCAATTTAGTGACAAATAACACAGATTTGTTATCTTACAGTTCAGGAGGTCAGAAATCTGAAATGGTTATTTCTGCACTAAAATCAAAATGCTGCCATGGCTCTGTTCCTTTCTGGAGGCTGCAGGAGAAAATCAGTTCTCTTGCCTTTTCTATCTTCTAGAACAAGGGTCCCCAACTTCCAGGACGTGGACCAGTAATGGTCCGTGGTCTGTTAGGAACCAGGACGCACAGCAGGAGGTGAGCGGCACCCCGAGCTCCACCTTCTGTCAGACCAGCCGTGGCATTAAATTCTCATAGGAGCGCAAACCCTATTGTGAACTGTGCATGGGAGGGATCTAGGTTGATCATACCATATGAGAATCTAATGCCTGATAACCTGAGGTGGAACAATTTCACCCTGAAACCAACCCCCACTCTCCGACCCCTGTCCATGGAAAAATGTTCTTCCACCAAACTAGTCCCTGGTGCCCAAAAAGTTGGGGACTGCTATTCTAGAGGCCACCACATTCCTTGTTACTCCATCTTCTATCCCCAAAGTCAGCAACATTGCATTTCTCTGACATTGACCCTTGTGATTACAATGGGCTCATACCAGTTTAATCAGACATAATGTAGAATAATCTGTTTATGTTAAATTCAGCTGCTTAACAACTTTAATTCCTTCACAAGCTTTATCCCACTCTTTCTGTGTAACATAACATATTCACAGGTTCCAGGGTTTAGGATATGGACATTTTTCTGGGCGGGGTGGAGGGAGGTGCATTATTCAGCTTACCTCAGAAACCAAGGCCTATTTATACTCCAGTCTTCAATCTTGCTCAGTTATATAAAGTTAAGCAATACAAAATGAAAAAGGATATTTTATGTTTGTAGAGCTTACTCATACTAGCCAATACAATTGATTTTCTTATTCAAATGTCAGCAGGTATTGTAAACATTTTGTCTTCTTTTTAAGAATAATAAAATTAAGGTATGCTTTCTTTTTATGAAAATTATTAATAATAATATCCTTCATGGAATTTCCTCACCAATGTACTTTATTAGCTTTCTATCTAAGCCACCTCATTCTATAATTACTATTAATTTATCAATTTGTGAGTTCTGTTGTTTTCTTTTGTTTCTAAGACTGTATGTATTTCCCTGGGTATTTTCTGAGTCAGAAGAAAAGGACAAAGTCAGTCGTGAGTAATTTTAGCCTTTGTTGTCCCTTAGAGAAAAACCAATATTTATCATAATATAGATTACAAACAGAATACAAGTTAGAGTGGACTGCTGCAGTGCTATGTAATAAACTTGGAAGGGATTCAAAATGAAAGTTTACTTTAAGACATAATTATTTTAGGGTTACTCTGTTAATGAAGCCATCACTGGTATCTCAAATACCTACAAGGTGAAGTCGAATTACTCTGTGCGTAGAATATACATTATTCGGGTGATGACTACCTAAAGCCCTCGATGGACCACAATGTAATCCATGCATGTAACAAAATTGCACATATATACCCCATACATTTATTTAAAATATAATGAAATGTGGGACTGCAGGCATGACAGAGTCCTGACCACTTTTGTTAACTGAAGAATGACCACTCTACTGAAAAATAACAATCACTACTTTGTTGTTGCCATTGGAAATTCTGGCTGAGTATTGCCAGGCATTTTGACTGATTAAGAGGAGGCAGAAATCTAGATTTTTAAAATGTGCAATCTCCAAACAATAAACATATAATAATTTAAATAATGTTTAAGTACATAAAAACAAGCACATGGCCACATCTGCCATAGAGAACTATTATTAGGAGTGGTTATATCCACATTGTTTTTTCTCTTAAACTCAAGACTGCTGCCATTACAAACATGTCAAGGTTGCATTAGCTTTAGTAGGCAATTATGTTGTCATTGTGTGAGCTTTTGTACAGTAATAATATTATTTTATAAAAGGTATACTATAATTTAATAAAATCTAAAAGAATCGTAAAGTATCTTAACCTGATGTAGTTACATAATTCAAAGGTGAATCTCATTCATCATATATAGAAAATCTGAAATACTAGATAGAAATTTTTCTGACTATTTGATATAAGACAACATAGGATATATTTATGTCCAATTTTATAAACTTGATAATTTATTATAGACTATATGTTAGTTAAGAGATAGGTGTGTAGCATTTGTAGTAATATCAAATTTTGATACTGAGTTATTAGAAATAATTCCTACAATGCCCATTGATTATTTTCTTTTTATTATTTTTTAATTTTACTTTAAGTTCTGGGATACACGAAAGAACATGCAGGTTTATTACATAGGTATACATGCGCCATGGTGGTTTGCTGCACTTATCAACCCGTCATCTAGGTTTTAAGTCCCACATGCATTAAGTATTTGTCCCCTTGCCCCCCTACCCCCTGACAGGCCCTGGTGTCTGATGTTCCCCTCCCTGCGTCCATGTGTTCTCACTGTTCAACTCCCACTTATGAGTGAGAACATGCAGTGTTTGATTTCCTGTTCCTGTGTTAGTTTGCTGAGAATGATGGTTTCCAGCTTCATCCATGTCCCTGCAAAGGACATAAATTCATTCTTTTTTATGGCTGCATAGTATTCCATGGTGTATATGTGCCCCATTTTCTTTATCCAGTCTATCATTGGTAAGTATTTGGGTTGGTTCCAAGTCTTTGCTATTGTAAATGGCGCTGCAATAAACATACGTATCCATGTGTCTTTACAGTGAAATGATTTATAATCTTTTGAGTATATACCCAAGAACTCCCACTATTGAGTGAGATTCTCAAAGTATGGGGGATAAGGGAGGAGACCATCCCTCATATTGTCTTATGCCCAATTTCTGCCTCCGTAGAAAAAAGAAGTAAAAACTAAAAGGCAGAAATGCAATCCACAAGCAGACAGCCTGGCGCCACACCCTGGGACTGGTAGTTAAAGATCGACCCCTGACCTAATCAGTTATGTTATCTATAGAATACAGACATTGTACAGAAAAGCACTGTGAAAATCCCTGTTCTGTTTTGTTCCAATCTAATTACCGGTGCATGCAGCCCCCCAGTCCCGTACCCCCTGCTTGCTCAATCGATCACGACCCTCTCACGTGCACCCCCATAGAGTTGTGAGCCCTTAAAAAGGACAGGAATTGCTCAGTCAGGGAGCTCGGCTCTTGAGACAGGAGTCTTGCCGATGCTCCCGGCTGAATAAACCGCTTCCTTCTTTAACTCGGTGTCTGAGGGGTTTTGTCTGTGGCTTGTCCTGCTACATTTCTGGGTTCCTACAATGTCCATTGATTATTTTCTATAAAAAGTATTTATAAGGCTGGTCTGAGTGCCATTGCATTTACAACTAATCAATCATAACCAATTACAGATTTCTTTGTTCATTCTCCATTCCCACTGCTTCTCTCGACCAGCCTTAAACAGAAGTATTCATATAACCAAGAGAATTCATGATATGTATATTATTAAGAGCTACTTGACACTTTAGGGATATTTTAATTGAAATATTATTCTTAAATAAATATTGAGTAAAGGTGTTTTGTGTAGGGAGTTTTAAATAAGATATTAATAAATAATATTGTGAATATTTCCTTTGCTCTAAGAGCTTTACCTACATTACTACATTTCATTTTATAAAAGCCTGATGAAATACATATTATTATTGTGTCAATTTTACATAATAAAAACAAATTACAGAAAACTTTAATTACTTGCACAGCATCTCTCAGTTAACACCTGGTACATCCACAATATTAACCTGGCTCTAGAGCCCACTCTGAGAAACACTTCTTTTTATGACTTCATCCCAGATGTAAAAAGAGTTAATTGCAATTAATATATGCAGTGGGTAGAATTTAAAAAATTTCCCTTCCTGAGATTACATGACCTATTTTCCAGAACCTGTGCATATGTTGAAATATCAGTCCATGAACGGCTACGCTATATAGCATTGTTGACTTTAAAATAGGAATAATATCTCGCTGGCCTTGATGACGTGATCCCCTGAAAGTGAGAGATTTTCTTCAGGCTAGTGGTAGATGGGGAAGGAGAGCTTTCTCCAGTTAGTGGTAGAAGGGAAAATCAGAGAGTTTGAAGCATGAGCAGGACTTGACTTACTGTTCCTGGCTTGAAGATGGGTCATATAAGAAGGAATGCAAGTGGTCTCTAGAAGCTGAGAATGATTCTGACCTGACAACCAGCAAGAAAACAGTACCTCAGTTCTACAACCACAAGGAATACATTTTGTCAACAATCAAAATAAATTTGGAAAAGTTCCAGATAAGAATATAGCCTAGCTAACACCTTGATTTCAGCCTTGTGTGATCTTGAGCAGAGAATTCAGACATGCCACCCCAGGCTTTGAACCTACAGAACTCTGAGGTAATAGATGGCAGTTGTTTTAAGCCACTTTTTCTGTGGTAATTTGTTACAGCAGCAGTACAGTATAGTTCTTTCAAATGTGCATTTTTACAATTTATAAAGTATTGGTTTTTCAAGTTCAATAATTTAACCAGAAGATATTATATATAATACAAATACAAAACTACTTTCCTCATGACAAAACGAACGGTAGACTCCTTTCTCAAAATATAAAACTGAGAAAAAATGGTCAGGATGTTATCCAAAGTGCAGTTCTAGGTCTCTCAGGAGATATTCACTTATGTAGACAAATATAATTTTTTTGTGGGGGGGGGAAATAGTAATTAATGTTTGTACACTCTAGTTTGGCAATACAGACAGCAGAATTTGTTCCTACATCTATAATTCAAGCAAATAGCAACCTCACTTATCTTGCATACAGCACAGAATTCAGTGATAAAAAGTTTTCTCAACTGACAAAAGAGATGTCACAAAAAAGCTCCTAAAAAGAAAATAAAGCTCTCTTATTCAACTCACCAGAGAGATCTTTACCTGTTCTCACAATGACTTTTTACTGCAATTTTAATGCAATATTAATAACTGGACTTCCAAGCCATTTTACAAACTCACAAAGTAGAATGATTTAGGATAATTTAAAGCAGCAATGGGTGGCAGTGAGAAAATAACCAGGAAAAAAGAATGCATCGACTTAAATAGAACAATCACTTATGGTTATTAAACAACAGCAACAAACGATAAAATCCATATTATATAATACCTAAAGGACAGCTTGGCCTAACACTTTGGTGACCTTGATGCCATCAAATCATTAGGAAAAAGTTGTTATGTTTGATGTATTGTCTTTTAAAAAGCAGGAAATAGTGAGATGCATTTTGGAATAGTTTAAAATCAAAAAATTTTTTATGATCCATAACACATAAGACTTCAAGCTTTAAAAAACATCATTATAAAGAATTACTTATTTTTTCAATGTTTTATAGTGTAAGCATTTCATTGACTTTCATGTATTCATATTTCTCTGAAAAATAAAGTTTTAGTATAACATTTTTATACTTATATAAAAGGTATCATTGCAGGAGAAATATTTTTCCAGCACAAATAAAAGTCTTTATTTTTTTAAGTAATTTGTTATATAAAAGTGGCTTTGAAAACATTTCTAAATCATTATAATTCCAAATGTGCCAAATAAGCAACCAAAATATTCCATATCAATCCCTGATAAAATATTAATAGAGTGATATGTAGCTATGTATAGACATATACATTTAAGTTTACCATTAAACTTAATGCTAGATGTTGAAGTAGATCTATAAATTTTGAAAATCCAGCATTTTGCTTGCTATTAAACTAATCTCATTGAAATGAGGAAGTACAAAAAGAAGTCTACTTCTTGGCTCATAACCAAGGAAACAAAGAATATAGAACACATTTCTATTGTATGTATTACATGTAATAGTTCACCTTAATAACTAAAAATTTTTACCTTTAAAATCTTAGAAAAAATAAAACACTTCTGGAAGTAGGTAAATCAGAAAAGCAGAATACAAGTCAATACAATATTTAAATAAAAATTAAAACCATTTAGATAGTGGAAAGAAGATAATAACCTATTTAAGGTAGCACCATTAAGAGCAAACAATCTAAAAATAAAATTAGCAAGGTCAGTACCAGCTCTAGATGAAAAAAAACAAAAAAAAAAACAAAACAACACTACAATTCTGTTGAGAGATATTTGTTGAATGAATGGAAGAAAAGAAAAAACAAAACTACACTGATTCTGAATGATATTACTTATTTCATAATTTATTATATAACATTTAATATATTAATAATGATATTTGTACAAGGAATTTATAAAATTATACTGGCATTTCTTTGGAAACTTAACTGTACAATACTAGGAAGTAAATTATTTAAAACCAGACAATTTCTAATAGGCTGCTCAAGGGGAAAAAACCCTATCAGATATTAAAAAGTATATAACTATAGCGTTTTCTTTAAACAAAATTACTGATGAAGAATAGCTACATTAATGAATCTGAAAGAAAGCCAGAAATAACCCTAATACATATGAGTATTTTTAATGTAATAAGAGTGGTTATACGCATCAATGGAAAACATCTTATTATATAAAAATCTAAGATAATTTGTTATTCTTTTGAGAAAAATAAGTAAATCTTGATTCCTGTCTTACTCCTTATACCAGAATGAATTTCAGATGAATTGATTACTCAAGCACAGTTCACATGGCCACAACTTGATAAATGTTTGCTTCTGTTCTCTGGGTCCACATATATTAACCAAGACATAGTTTAAGTTACCTTCCAGGATAATAGTCACAGTCTAATAAAACCTTAAGAGAACTACAGATCAAGATGGCTGACTAGACCCAAGTAGCATGTACCTCCTCCACAGAGACAAACCAGAGTAATAAGTACATACTCACACTGTACAGGTCATCTAGGAGAGAACACTTGGATTCATCAGAGAAGAGATGGGAAGTGCCAGAAGTAAGTAAAGATAGTGTTCCAGGCAGCTTACCCAGCTGGGAACAGACTGACAGCTGGAAACCAACTGAGACCCTGGACGTGGGGAAACAATAAGATAGAAACCCACAGAGCTCAGAAATCAGCTTTAACAATCTGGGCCATGGGAGAAACCCTTGACCAACCACTAGGGCCTCATGTCTGATACATGGAGCTGCCTAAAGATTCTCAGAAATGTTGCTCCAGAAAGGCAACCCACACAGAAACTCAGAGGCATTTGAGCCTGGAGTAACCTCAGTGGGAAGCCATTTTGAGAGTGCAGATACTGGGGACCTACAGGAATGGCTATAGCCACTTGCAATGATCCAAGGAGGAACAGGGGAGAATAAGCACACCCACGCAACCTCTGGTAGGGTACTTGCCACTCTGCTACAAGTTGCTGATCAGATTAAGACACAAGTGGACCATACACTCCACAGCTTCTTGTTCACACTACATGCCTTGGTGGTGCTCTGACCCTGTCTAGTTCCAGGCCCAAGATGTCATTTTTGGGAGTTTAATACTGGGCCGAGTTTTGCCTTTGGCCTGAGTTCAGGCTGACATGAGTGCAACTGTCACCTGATCAAGGACTGACAGAGAAACCATGTCATCCCATGCATATCTAGGACAATACTCACTGCTCTGCAAGGAGCTGATGTGAGATCCAGTTGTAATTGGACTGCACTCCCCATGGCTTCTTGTTGACACTGCTTGGTTGGATGGTGCCCTACCCTCTCCAGGCTCAAGATACTATTTTGAGAGTTTAATGCTGGACCAAGCCCACCCTTGGCCTGAGCTTGGGATGATATGGCAGCAGCTGCTGCCTAGCCAAGAAGGGACAGGGAAATAAGGCCATCCTAGGTATGTCTAGCACAATACCCACTGCTCTGCCGGGAGGGTACTTTTCTCCCTTCTCTGTTGCTTCTGCTCCCACTGCTACCTATTGCCTCTTACTCTTCAGGACCACCTACTAGACTGCTGTTGTTAGACTGAGACATGAGCAAACCACACTCCCCATGTAGTTCACCTGAGAGGGGCCCCACTCTCTCCAATTATAATCCCACACCCGGCACCATTCTGAGTGTTTAGAGATGTTGTTTGGTGACTGGTGGCAATGGCAGGCATTTTATTCTCAAGACTAAAGAGACTGGAGAGCTTGCTCTGGAATGGGGAGAAGGACTTCCAGAGCTCCAATGAGTGGTGTGTGTGGAGAGTGCCCAGCAGCTGGCACTGGAATTAGACTCTCTCCCATTACAGGACTGGAGTGCGAGGAGTGTTGCTGAAGCTGAGGTTTCTTGCAGATGGCAAGACTGCAGCCAGGGTAGCTTTGGAAACTGAAACCTGTCTGTGTGGGTCATTGCTGGGTGCCCCAGGCTGCTCTTTTGGTCACTTGGGGGACAGTGCTCCTTAGCTCTGAAGAATAAGAAGGAGGCAGATGTCACTCTCCTGGAGATCTAAACCTTTGTGTGGATTGTCCCTAAGGGAGGATAGAGTGCAGCCACTCAAAGTCCACCATAAGTTAATGAAAATGCAAGTATAACACCAGCTACTGAAGGCAACACCACTGAAGCCCAGGAATGGATATGGAAAGCGGGTCACCTCTTTCCCCCCACACCCCACCTCACTAAACTGCTGCAGACTCAGCAGTGGCTCTTCCCACTGGGCCCAGGAAGTGTGGGTTGAAAGAGACTGTTTCTTGGGCTTCTTTAGCAGCTCTGCCATGACTACAGGCAAACATACCCTGAGGGAGGGTGCTTTTCTTCCTTCTCTGTTGCTTCTGTTCCCACCACTACCTACTGTCTCTTACTCTTAAGGACCACCTAGTAGACTGCAGCCTGAATTACATCACCAGACAAAATTACATTACTACAACCAACAACATCTTAGAAAGCCACTACACAAACCTTTCTGCAACTAAGGAACCCCTACAGAGGCCTGGCACTCTGAAAGCACCCAGAAATGAAGTCAATAAATGAAACACCATATACGCCACAGTCATATCCCCAAGGTAAAAAAAACAGAATAAAAAAATCAAGAAGTCACATCCAAATGATAGCAAATTAAAAAAGAAATACAAAGTGTCAGCTCTCAGAAGAGAAACAACCAGCACAAAAACTCCAGCAATACAAAAAGCCAGTGTTTTGTCACCTCCAGAGGATTTCAGTAGCTTCCAAGCAATGGATCCTAACCAGAATGAAATGTCTGTAATGACAGATATAGAATTAAGAATATGGATAGCAAAAAAACTCAATAAGATCTGAGAGAAAGTTGAAATTCAACACAAAGAAGCTAGAAAATAATTCAAAATTTAAAAGATGACATAGTTGTATTGGAAAGAACCAAACAGATTTTCTGCAATTAAAAAGTTTACTACAAAAATTTCAAAATACAATTGGAAGCCTTAACAGCAGACTAGACCAAGCAGAAAAAAGAATTTCAGAGATCAAAGACTAATCCTTTAAATCTACCTAGTCAGAAAAAAATAAAGTAAAAGAATTTCAAAACATGACCAAATCCTTCAAGAAATATGGGATCATGTAAAACAACAAAATCTATGATATTAGCGTACCTGGGAGAGAAGAGGAAGCAAGCAACTTGGAAGACATATTTGAGGATATAACTCGGAAATATTTCCGCAATCTTCCTGAAGAGGTAGACATGTAAATGCAAGAAATCCAGAGAACTCCTGCGAGATACTAAGACTATAAGTCCCAAGGCACACAGTCATCAGACTATGCAAGGTCAATGCAAAAGAAAAAAATATTGAAGGCAACTAAGAAAAAGGGTCATATTACCTACAAAGGGAAACCTGGCAGACTAACAACATATTTCTCAGCAGGAATCTTACAAGCCAAAAGATATTGAGGGCCCATTTTTAGCATTCTTAAAGCAAAGAAATGCCAGCCAAGAATTTCATATTCTCCCAAACAAAGCTTCATAAATAAAGGAGAGATAAAGTCTTCCCCAGTCAAGCAATCAATAAGAGAATTAATCAGCACCAGATCGGCTCTATGAGAGATGCTTAAGGGAATTTTAGACATGGAAATGAAAGGATTATACTTGCTATCACAAAAGCACACAGCCCATAGACCCTATAAAGCAACTACACAACTGAGACTACAAAGCAACTAGCTAACAACATGACAGGGATAAAATCTCAAATATCAATATCAACATTGAATATAAACAGTCTAAACACTCGATTTAAAAGACATAGAGAGGTAAATTGGATTAAAAAAACAAATAACAAGACCCATCCTTCCACTGTCTTCCAGAGACCCATCTGATGTGTAATGAGAGCCATAGGTTCAAAGTAAAGAGATAAAGAAAGGTGTACTATGCAAATGGAAAAAAAAAAAGCAGGATCACTATTCGTTTATCAGATAAAATAGAGTTTAACAACAGAAAACAGGAAAATGAAGGGCATTAGATAATGATAAAGGGTTCAATTTAAGGAGAAGACTCAACTATTCTAAATATATATGCCCCCAACATTAAAGTATCCAGATTTATAAAACAATTCTAGACCTAAGAAAAGACTTTGACAGCCACAAAGTAATAGTGGCAGACTGCAACACCTTACTGACAGCATTAGACAGATTGTTGAGGCAGAAAACTAACGAAGAAATTCTGGACTTAAATTCAGCACTTGAACAATTGGACTTAATAAACATTTACAGAATACTCTACCCAACAGCCACAGAATATATATTCCTCTTGTCTTCATATGAAACATATGCTAAAATTTACACATGCTTAGCCATAAAGCAAGTATTGATAAATTAAAAACAAATTTTAATTATATGAAGCATCTCCTTGGATCACAGTGGAATAAAAACAGACATAAACACTGGGAAAGTTCTCAAACCATACGAATACATGTATATTAAACAACTTGCCCCTGAATGACTTTTGGTTAAAAAACAAAATTAGGGTAGAAATTAATTTTTTAAAAAACAAATGAAAATAGAGACAACATTCCACAACCTCTGAGGTGCGGCAAAAGCAAGGTTAACAACAAAGTTTATAGTGCTGAACATCTACATCGAGAAGATAGAAATATCTCAAATTAGCAACCTAACCGAACATCCAAAGGAACTAGAAAAACAAGAACAAACTAAACAAAGCTAGCAGATTAAAATAAATAAAATCAGAAAACAACTAAATGAAATTGAACTGTACAAAGAATCAATGAAACTAAAAGTTGGTTAACAAAAAAAAAGAGAGAAGATCCAATCAAACACAGTCAGAAATGACAAAGTTGACATCACAGCCAATTCCATATGAATACAAAGGCTCCTCAGAGAGTGCTATGAACACCTCTATGCACACAAACAAGAAAATCTGTAAGAAACAGATAAATTCATGGAAACACTACCTCCCAAGACTGAGCTAGGAAGAAACATTAATCCAGAACAGACTAATAAGTAAGGAAACTGAATCAGCATTAAGAAACCTATCAAATAAAAAAAGCCCTATACCAGATGGATTCACAGCAGAATTCTATCAGACATACAAAGAAGAGCTTGTACCAATCTTACTGAAACAATTCCAAAAAATCAAGGAGGGGGGCCTCCTCCCTAACTCATTTTGGGAAACCCATGTCATCCTGATAGCAAAATCTGGTAAAGACACAACAGTAACAACAACGAAACTACAGGCTAATACACCTGATGAGCATAGAAACAAAAATCCTCAACAAAATGCTAGCAAATCTGAATCCAGCACCAGACCCAAAAGTTAATTCATCACAATTAAGTAGGTTTTATTGCTGGGATACAAGGATAATTTAACACATGCTTATCAATAAATGTGATTCACCACATAAACAGAATTAAAACCAATAACCATATGGTCAACGTAATAGATAAAAAAAAAAAGCATTAGATAAAATTCAACATCCCTTCCTGATAACAATCCTAAACAAACTACACATTGAAGGAATATATCTCAAAATAATAAGAGCCATCTGAGACAAACACACAGTCAACACCATACTGAATATGCAGAAGCTTAAAGCATTCTTCCTAAAACCTGGAACAAGACAAGGATGTTCACTATAAATCCTCTATTCAACACAATACTGGAAGTCCTGGCTAGAGCAGTTAGGCAAGTTACAGAAATAAAAGACATCCAAGTAGGAAAAAAAAGTCATGTTATCTCTCTTCACTGATTATATGATTCTATGCTTAGAAAACCACAAAGATTCTATCAAAAGACCCTAGACTTATCATTTTTTATTGAGTCTATTTGATTCTTCTCTCTTTTCTTCTTTATTAGTCTTGCTAGCAGTCCATCAGTTTTGTTGATGTTTTCAAAAAACCAGCTCCTGGATTCATTGATTTTTTGAAGGGTTTTTTGTGTCTCTATCTCCTTCAGTTCTGCTCTGATCTTAGTTATTTCTTGCCTTCTGCTAGCTTTTGAATGTGTTTGCTCTTGCTTCTCTAGTTCTTTTAATTGTGATGTTAGGGTGTCAATCTTAGATCTTTCCTGCTTTCTCTTGTGGGCGTTTAGTGCTATAAATTTCCCTCTACACACTGCTTTAAATGTGTCCCAGAGATTCTGGTATGTTGTGTCTTTGTTCTCGTTGGTTTTAAAGAACATCTTTATTTCTGCCTTCATTTCGTTATGTACCCAGTAGTCATTCAGTAGCAGGTTGTTCAGTTTCCATGCAATTGAGCGGTTCTGAGTGAGTTTCTTAATCCTGAGTTCTAATTTGATTGCACTGTGGTCTGAGAGACAGTTTGTTATAATTTCTGTTATTTTACTTCCTTACACCTTATACAAAAATTAATTCAAGATGGATTAAAGACTTAAATGTTAGACCTGAAACCATAAAAATCCTAGAAGAAAACCTAGGGAATACCATTCAGAACATAGGCATAGGCAAGGACTTCATGTCTAAAACACCAAAAGCAATGGCAACAAAAGCCAAAATTGACAAATGGGATCTAATTAAACTAAAGAGCTTCTGCACAGCAAAAGAAACTACCATCAGAGTGAACAGCAACCTACAGAATGGGAGAAAATGTTTGCAATCTACTCATCTGACAAAGGGCTAATATCCAGAATCTACAATGAACTCAAATTTACAAGAAAAAAACAAACAACCCCATCAAAAAGTGGGCAAATGATATGAACAGGCATTTCTGAAAAGAAGACATTTATGCAGCCAAAAAACACATGAAAAAATGCTCATCATCACTGGCCATCAGAGAAATGCAAATCAAAACCACAATGAGATACCATCTCACACCAGTTAGTTAGAATGGCAATCATTAAAAAGTCAGGAAACAACAGGTGCTGGAGAGGATGTGGAGAAATAGGAACACTTTTACACTGTTGGTGGGACTGTAAACTAGTTCAACCATTGTGGAAGACAGTGTGGCAATTCCTCAGGGATCTAGAACTAGAAATACCATTTGACCCAGCCATCCCATTACTGGGTATATACCCAAAGGATTATAAATCATGCTGCTATAAAGATACATGCACACATATGTTTATTGTGGCACTATTCACAATAGCAAAGACTCGGAACCAACCCAAATGTTCATCAATGATAGACTGGATTAAGAAAATGTGGCACATATACACCATGGAATACTATGCAGCCATGAAAAATGATGAGTTCATGTCCTTTGTAGGGACATGGATGAAGCTGGAAACCATCATTCTCAGCAAACTATCGCAAGGACAAAAAAACAAACACCGCATGTTCTCACTCATAGGTGGGAATTGAACAATGAGAACACTTGGACACAGGAAGGGGAACATCACACACCGGGGCCTGTTGTGGGGTGGGGGGAGAGGGGAGGGATAGCATTAGGAGATACACCTAATGTAAATAACGAGTTAATGGGTACAGCACACCAACATGACACATGTATACATATGTAACACACCTGCATGTTGTGCACATATAAAAAAATACACACATATATACACACACATACACACACACACACACACACACATATATATATATATAAAGACCCTAGACTTGATAAACAACTGTGGCAAAATTTCAGGATGCAGAATCAATGTACAAGAATAAGTGGCATTTCTATATACAAATAATGTTCAAGGTGAGAACCGAATCAAGAATCCCATCTCATTTACAATATCCACAAAAAAATAAAATACCTGGGAATAAATATAACCAAGGAGATGAAAGATATCTACAAGAACTACAAAGCACTGCTGAAAGAAATCATGGATGACACAAACAAATGTAAAAACATTCCATGCTCATGGACTGGAAGAATCAATATCATTAAAATGTCCATACTGCTCAAAGCAATCTACAGATTTAACTCTATTCCTATCAAATTTCCAATGTTGTTTTTCACAGACTTAGAAGAACTTTTCTAAAATTCATATGGAACCAAAAAAGAGTCCTAGAATCCAAAGAAATCCTAAGCAAAAAGAATAAAGTTGGAGGCATCACATTACCTGACTTCAAATTATACTATAAGGCTACAGTAACCAAAACAGCATGGCACTAGTAAAATATAAACACACAGACAAATGGAAAAGAATAGAGACCCCTGAAATAAAACCACACATCTACAGCCAGCTGATCTTTGACAATGACAACTAAAAAAACAATAGGGAAAGAATACCCTAATCAATAAATGGTTTCGGGAACACAGGCTTACCATACGCAGAAAAATGAAACTGCACTCCTACCTCTCCACACATACAAAAATTAACTCAAGATGGACTAAAAACTTAAATGTAAGACCTCAAACCATAAAAATCATAGAACAATACCTATAAAACACTCTTCTAGACATTTGCCAATAATTGGCAAATAATGTATTACTATGTCCTGAAAAGCAAATGAAGCCAAAACAAAAATTGACTATTGAGAGGTAATTAAACTGAAGAGCTTTGGCAAAGCAAAAGAAACTATCAACAGAATAAACAGACAACCTACAAAATGGAGAAAATATTTGCAAACTATGCCTCTGACAAAAGGCTAACATCCAGAATCTTTAAGACACTTAAAAAAAATCAACAAGTAAAGTTAAAAAGTGGGCAAAGGACATGAACAGATACATCTCAATAGAAACATACATGTGACCAAGAAACATAAAAAATACTCAACATCACTAATCATCAGAGAGATGCAAATCAAAATCACAATGAGATACCTCCTCACACCAGTCAGAATGGCTATTATTAAAAAGTCAAAAAAGGCTGGGCGTGGTAACTCATGCCTGTAATCCCAGCAATTTGGGAGGCTAAGGCAGGTGGATCATGAGATCAAGAGATCAAGACCATCCTGGCTAACATGGTGAAACCCCGTCTCTACTAAAAATACAAAAATTAGCTGGGCGTGGTGGGGTGTGCCTGTAGTCCCAGCTACTCGGGAGGCTGAGGCAGGAGAATTGCTTGAACCCAGGAGGCGGAGGTTGCAGTGAGCCGAGATCGCACCACTGCACTCCAGCCTGGCAACAGAGTGAGACTCCGTCTCTAAAAAAATAAATAAAATAAAATAAAATAAAATAGTCAAAAAATAACATATTGACAAGATTATGAAGAGAAGGGAATGCTTATATACTGTTGGAGGGAATGCAAATAACTTTAGTCCTTACAGAAAGCAGTTATTAGATTTCTCAAAGAACTAAAAACAGAATTAGTATTTAACCAAGCAATCTCATTACTGGGTATATACCCAAAGGAAAAGAAATCATTCTACTAAAACGACACCTGCACTCATATGTTTACTGCAGCACTATTCGCAATAGCAAAGACATGGAATCAACCCAGTTGCCGACCAATGGTTGATTGAATAAAGAAAATGTGGTACATATACACCATGGACTACTATGCAGCCATAATAAAGAATGAAATCACGTCCTTTGCAGCAACATTGATGCAGCTGTAGGCCATTATCCTAAGCAAATTATCACAGAAACAGAAAACCAAATACCACATGTTCTCGCTTATATGTGGGAGGTAAACACTGGGTACAAAAGGATAGAAAAATGGAAACAAGTAACACTGGGGATTCCAAAACTGGGGAGGGAGGAAAGTGGGAAAGTGTTGAAAAACTATCATCCATCAGGTACTATGTTTACTCTTTGGGCAATGGGATCATTAGAAGCCCAAACCTCAGCATCACGCAATATACCCATGCAACAAACATGCACATGTACCCGTGGAATCTAAAATTTTTTAAAAAAGCCGTAAATGAACTGGAATATTAAAAAGTAGGTGATTAACTTTTACTTCTAGGTGGCCCAAGATGAAAGATTTGTGAGGGAAAGCCACAAAACCCAGAAGTTATAAAGTACATTTTAATAAATATATAACCTCCAACCATCTAAATATAAAATATATCTACATCAAAAATATACAAATAGAGAAATAAAAAACTGAAAGATAAAGAAATTAACTATACCTTTTAAGAAATATGAAAAGGCTATATTTTGTTGGTATATAAAACATATTAATCAAGAGGAAAAATAGAAACCTCAAAATAAAAAAAATGCTAATTACATAAGCAGGCAATTAATGTGAATGCAATAGGTAAATATCAGAAAATTTACTTAGGCTTTCCTAATAATTAAATAATTTTATATATTTTCAGTAGATTAGAAGATATATAATTTTGATGTTCACATCTAAATCAGCTGGTTGACATTAAATCAATGCAACATTTTAGGACAGCTGTGTGTGAATGCAATTAATATATAGTAAATTTAGAGAATGGAAAATTTTTTTTCTTTTTTTTTTTTTTTGGAGACAGTCTCCCTCTGTCACCCAGGCTGGAGTGCAGTAGCACAATCTCGGCTCACTGAAACCTCTGCCTCCCAGGCTCAAGTGATTCTTCTGCCTCAGCTTCCTGAGTAGCTGAGATTACAGGCATGTGCCGCCACGCCTGGCTAATTTTTTTTTTTCCTTTAGTAGAGACGGGGTTTCACCATGTTGGCCAGGCTGGTCTTGAACTCCTGCCCTGAAAATGATCCACCCGCCTAGGCCTCCTAAAGTGCTGGGATTACAGGCACCGTGCCTGGCCTGGAAGTTGAATTTTTTATATGTAACTACCTATTTTAAATGTTCTACCATAAATATTTCTTAGCGCTATAATTAAAGTTGTAGTTCATTATTTTTAAAAGCAGCTTTTGTTGCTGGTAATGATGACACAACAAAGAGACTTTTAAAAAGGTAAGCCAAAACTTAAACTTATTATTTCTACCATTATTAGTTAGCTACCTTTTTATGGCAAAGAGCTCATATTTAAAACAACTTTACAACAAAATTAAAAAATTAGCCGAGAGTGGTGGCACATGCCTGCAGTCCCAGCTATTCGGGAGGCTGAGGCAGCAGAATCACCTGAACCCAGGAGGCAGAGTTTGCAGTGGGCCAAGATGGCGCCACTGCACTCCAGCCTGGGCAACAAAGCGAGACTCCATCTCAGAATAGTAAAAAAATAAATAAATAAAAATAAATATAATAAAAAAAGCTTTACAACAAATGAACACTCAAACATTATTGTGAGACTATTTTACGTTTTCATCTTAAAATGCTTACTGAACATAAACTCATGCTACTTGACATTTTCAAATAAAATATTTATTTTTATAACTAACATCATTCGCCAAAAATAAGCAAGCCCTTGTTATTTATGTTATTAAAATGCCCTATGCCCCAGAAAAGGTCTTCCATATAATATGTGAATTTTTCTAGCTTTCGTTGAAAATGTAGACACTGGAATGAAAGAAAAAGATGGCAATCATGACAATTAGGTTCTAGTATTCCTGATTGTATGGCAAAAAAAGAAGTCATAAAATGTCTTTGCAGACATGTAGTAAAAGAATATGAGGTTCCAGTGATCTCCACCTAAACTATAAGCCTGTAAAAAATACATGTTTTCCTTTTTCATAAATGAGCACCCAACCTCACTAAGATACTCTAATTGAAGGCTTTCTGTGATTCATTGAGATTTACTCATTTTAAAATGCAAGATTACATTAGTGCCACATTAGGTGACTTCTATTTATCTCTAAATCTTTTACTTATTCTCTGCAAGTCTGTATCATAGAAGTAATTTAATTTTGCCCTAGGGAGACTATTTCTCTTTTCCAGAGAATAGCCACACACTGGAGAATTAAGATCAGGTATTCATGAAATATATGCTAAACACACTCAGACTTATTACCCCATGGATCTACTAAAGGAGATTTAGTGTGGAGGAAAGATATGTTTATTATCATTTGCTGTACATTCACAGGGAGATTGATCAAAAAGAATGTACTGAGTACTCAAGAATTTATAATTATGGTAGGCCTTTTATCATAGCACATGAATTTTTTATTCAGTCTGCATTCATACAGTCTTCATTCCTAGAAAGACCTACAGAATGTACAATGATGAGGTTCAAAACCCTCTATTAAGAGGCAAAATATAGCTATTAGTCTGAATTTGGAAATATTTGACCCTTAAGTTTTACTCTGAACCACCCTCAGAAGAGGCCCCAGAAATATTTACAGCTGAATTAGTCACTAAGATTTGTCTCTTTCTAGTGAAGATAAGGCTGTAAAAGAAAACTTCGCTTTTCATCTGACAGCCTTATTTTATTCTTGGATTAAGAACATGGCTTCTGGGGAGCTAGAAGTCCCTTGTCCAAACACTCACAGGGGATGACATAAATAAGAATTTAACTTAACTCATAGGCATCTTTTTTTTTTTTTTTTTTTTGAGACGGAGTCTTGCTCCGTCACCAGGCTGGAGTGCAGTGGCACGATCTCAGCTCACTGCAACCTCTGCTTCCCAGGTTCAAGCAATTCTCCTGCCTCAGCCTCCTGAGTAGCTGGGATTACAGGTGGGTGCCACCACACCCAGCTAATTTTTCTGTTTTTAGTAGAGATGGGGTTTCACCATGTTGGTCAGGCTGGTCTCCATCTCTTGACCTCGTGATCCACCCACCTCGGCCTCCCAAAGTGCTGGGATTACAGGCATGAGCCACCACGCCCGGCCAGGCATCTTTTTTTAATTCTAAAGATGGATGCAAATGCAGATATCCTGTCTTAACTTAGTTCTTCCCTTGGGATGCTTGGGGAAGTATGGTTCTCCTCTACAATATCCCTTAGCAAGACAGTAAGTGGTTATTTCAGAAGAAAATTCTTTGTGTGTGAAATGGAACTGAGCTTTGGCTGACATGATTTTATTCATAGTTTTGAGTTGTTTCTATAGCTGTGTGCAAACTGATGACCTTGAACAAGTAATCTCCAGTGATATACTTCAAGCTCAAAGAAAGTGTTGAAGTGGAACCAAAGTGACTGAATGTAGTCACTGAGGCAAACATCAAGTAGGGCAGTACTCAAAGGGGCAAATATGAAAAAATAACCCTTCTTTTATTATATTGCTTTTCTTCAGAAAAAGTCATACAGTATTTTAATGTTATTTCTCCAACCTAATTGCAAACGGTCAGGTTTCTCTGACAGAGAATTGTAAGTGTATCATTTTCTTTCTCAAAGCCATAGGATGATTACTATTAATTAAATGCTGCAAAAATTATCCAGTTACAGAATTGCTGCATAAAAGGCTGTTCTTTAAAAGATCCTGATAGTGTAGCTTGTCCAGTTCAAGCCAAGAGGTAAAAATAAGGTCAAGATATCTCATTTTCCATTTTTGCCTTGCAACAATACAGATAATAATGCAAAGAATGATGAGATGAATTCAGGATAAATGATCTGGCCAAGTCCTTTGAATACAAAGAGACAAATATCAGGGGTTTAATCCTTAAAGTTATGTAATTTACTAATTTAAATTATATGAAAATTAGAGGCATGCATGAAACATTAAAAGACTGTAATACACTCTCCATAATAAAATGATTCAATAGAAAATCTCTGGGAAATTAAGCTTTTATTTTATACTTAAGAATTAAAGCTTCTCACTTGCTTATATTTTTCTTCATCACCTTCCCACCACATTCTTATTATTAGGCACACTGAGAACATTTGCTTTGAGTTCACATGAAAGATTTAGTGCTATCTGAACAGACACCTGCCTGTTAATCAAAATCAGTAATTGACCTATGGCTGTAAGTAGTCATTCAACAAGGAGGTAATGCAAAAAAAAAAAAATGTAGAAATAAAAGAGGCTTTTAATTCTCCTTCACTTGTCCACTCAGTTAATCAGTACCTGAAGGACCGATCACTGCTACTGTGGCCCTAACATGCCATCAGCATGCTTAGGATTTCCTTACCTAGGCTCTGCTTTTTGTTCACAGCTATCATGTATAAGGTGATAAACAGAGCAACGTGATAATAAAATTTTATTATTATTTTCTCTGTTTTGGCTCCAAAGATCAGTTTGAGAGTCTCAGCTTTTTAATTGGTTTACTCTTGCTTTAGAATGAAATAATCTGTTATAAATGCCTTTGTCAAAGTCAGAGGGCTCTCTGCTTGCCAGCTGTCAATCAGTATGCAGGAAAGTTCACTTGGCATTGTTTTCCCGTGTCAAGAAGAGAGCAGTCCCTCTAAGAATCTTGATTCTCCTTTAGCCAAATCAAAAGAGGGCTGCTCCTTCATGGGCTTGTATCTATTAAGTAGGATCTTGCAGGGCCCATCAGCCCCATACCCTGCCTAGATTCTAGTTCTATTTCTCTATATCAAACTGTGTAATTTTATATTGTCTCCTCAAACACAGATAGTCCTCACTTTGTTCTGATATACGTGAATTTCAGTCACTTATGGTTTAGTTAAGTAACACCAGTCCCCCATAACAGGGTTCACATATCGGTTATCATAACGTATTCACTGTGAGTAATTACATTAAGCAGAAATTTTACTACTAACTCTTCAGTCCACAAGTCATTACTTAACAGATGCACATCACCGTAAATAACTCATCGTGTCAATTCTATCAAAGTCTGGAGGTGATCATTATCAAGTTCATGCACAGGCTTTTGTGTTTACTCTCTGTCTCCTAGTGATAAGCTTGCTATCATTTTACAAAAAAATAAAAAGGATAATTGAAAAAGGGAATTGGCCAACAGAGGCATAAGCGTAATATAAAAAGGGAAAGTGATAATACTAGAAGTGAAATTTGAATAGCATCACAGACTTTCATACCAAGTTAGTTGAGAATTGCCTCTGGAGATTCAACCTCATCCTTTACTCCCACTACAGGGATGCCTGTTCAAGGGACATTCAGGCCGAATTTGCTCTGCATACATCAAAGAATGCTGTTAGGTAGAAAAGCAGGTAGAACAGGAGGTTGCCCGTGCTGTGACATTGCAAACTTGCACAGAAACTGCCCACTCCAGCTGCTGATAAATTAGATTTGGGTCAAACAAATGTGACGTTTGGCACTAGACATTTCCAAGAAAAATACAGTAGAGGTTTATTTTCTTCTATAATAACAGTCCTAAAACTCTGTTTTCTTGGAAAGGGCAATAGTAAAAGTCGTAAGCTCTGTGGATCACCTTGTGTGTTTCTTTCTTGCAACCACGTGACCACTGTAGAGTGAAAGCAGCCACAGACAACAGGTAAACAAATAGGTGAAACCCAATGAAAGTTTATGAACATTAAAATTTGAATTTTAAAAAAATAAAAATTTCATTATGAATTTTTTTTCCAATCATTATAATGTACGAACTGTTCTTAGTACATAAACCATACAAAACAAATGGTAGGCTAGATATGGTCATAGTTTGACAAACCCTGCTTTTAAAATATCCATAAATCATAAATTATTACGAGAAAATAAAGATTTAAAAGCTTAACAAATGTTCATTCATCGTAATAATTTATTTATGTATGTCTTCTTTTTTTTTCTTTTTTTGAGATAGAGTCTCACTCTGTCGCCCAGGCTGGAGTGCAGTGGCCTGATCTTGGCTCACTACAACCTCCACCTCCCAGGTTCAAGCAATTCTCATGCCTCAGCCTCCCAAGTAGCTGGGATTACAGGTGTGTGCCACCATGCTTGGCTAATTTTTGCATTTTTAGTAGAAATGGGGTTTCATCATGTTGGCCAGGCTGGTCTCGAACTCCTGACCTCAGCTGATCCGCCCTCCTTGGCCTCCCAAAGTGCTGGGATTACAGGGGCGTGCCACCACACCTGGCCTTGGTGATAATAATTTAAAGAGCTCTTCATTTTTAGAAAGAAATTAATTACATTTTCAGATAGCAACTTGTATATCTGATTTAACTTATCAAAGTGGCCTTCCGCTGTACATAAAATATCAACACTGTCCCCTCATTTTGTACTCTCCATTCCCCCGTTTTTACTTTATACTTCTTCATAAATAATCATCACATAAACTATTTTCGACTAACTTTTTTGCTTATGGCCCCATTAATAGAACTTAAGCTAAACCATGGCAGGGATTTTTATAGTTTTGTTCACTAGCACTAAAAACAGTGACTAGGCCAGGCCCAGTGGCTCATGCCTGTAATCCCAGCACTTTGAGAGGTCAAGGCAGGCAAATCACGAAGTCAGGAGTTTGAGACCAGCCTGGCCAACATGGTGAAACCCCATCTCTACCAAAAATTAAAAATATTAGCTGGGTGTAGTGGCGGGTGCTTGTAATCCCAGCTACTTGGGAGGCTGAGGCAGGAGAATCGCTTGAACCCTGGAGGCGGAGGTTGCAGTGAGCTGAGATCACCCACTGCACTCCAGCCTGGGTGACAGAGGGAGACTCCATCTCAAAAAAAAAAAAAAAAAGAGAACAGTGACTAGAAATTAGTAGCCACTCAATGAATATTGGCAGCAGATTTAGATAATCCCAAAAGAATGAATTTATAATCTGGAAACCCAAGAAACATATAAGGAGCAGACAGTAGAAAGGATACCATTTTAATTATATTTCAAAATTAATAATTTCCAATTATTGAAACAAACATTTTTAAAAGGTCATGTTTTTGATTTGGGAGAAAATACCAGCAGCATTATCAGAAAGTGACATTGTCTATTAAATACATGAGCACCTAAACAAATAATTGTATGATACGATTATAATTAGTCAGACTTCCAAATACATGAAGTCATTACTTATTTCTACCCACGCATCAGAGTTGGGCATTGCAATGGTCTCCAGTAGAGATTCTTGAGTCACTTAAAAGGTATAGCTCCAATTGAGACACTTACAAAAATATTACAAGTTATGTGCAACAAAAATACCTCAAATTACAACCTTATAACAATAGGCCAAGTATCTATTAAGAATAGTATAATATTTGTGAAAAAATGATGTGTATAATTGCTATAAAATATACTCAATTATATTAACCTTATAATATAGAATAACTGGTTTAATATAATTATCTGATAAAGATTAAATTGATATTGATATTAAAATTTTAATGCACATAAAATTTAGAAAACAATGGCTAATAAATATAGTGGGTTTAAAATATACATGTGCAATTCAGTTTTTTCAAAAATATAACTTTATGTTTTTATAACAACTTATTTTGCTCATAAACTTTCTTTCAGGATAAACTGTTAAGACGTCAAAAGTTCGCTATCAAGAGCTTGCATTTTAACTGTATTTGCTCTGTGAAGACATAGAAGCCTCACCTCCGATGGATAGAGGTTTAAGTGTGAAAGAATTGCCACAGATGAATAACATATGTCATAATATTTCAAAGTAAGGCTGCATCCATCATTTATTGAATCAGCATTTGGTTAAGTTGTTAACTTACAACAACTTAACATGCAACCCTGTGCTCTTGCATCAGCATGTACCTCAAAATGTCTCAGAGAAATAGGAAATGTTATTACTCTCATTTTGCATATGAGAAACACCAACATTTAAAATACTTAATTACCCTACTAAAGTTTATAAGTGTTATGCAACTTTTTCAATTTTATTAAAATAAGTGAATATCATGCACCCAAAGGTATTTGGGGTTGTTGGTGAGGCGTTAGGCTCTAAAGTCTATATATAAGCCAAAAATTAAAAAATCATTAAAATTATTTATTTTAAAAATTATTTACATTTCTAATAAATTCATATTAGAAATTGGACTAGATGTATATACACACACATATAGCACCATCTATTAAAACATTAAATCTAGTGTGGAAATTTATATCTATTTTTAGCTCAGTGTTTTGTTTATGATACAAAATAAAATACTTTGTTTTCTTTTGTATAAGTCACTTTTATACAAAATACAAAATAAGTAATTAACTGTAGGACTCTATTCCCCACACTACATGGATACTGGGACTTTCTAAAACATTAGCATTTCCACTTCTCTTACCTCTTGCTTGCTTACTCCAGAGAAACTGAGCTTGGTATCTCTGTAATCATTGAAATTTTTTCTCTCTCTCTCTCTTATGGTTGGATTCCTTGAGTAATGTGTATAGTTGATATGACTCCAGTGTAATAGAGTAAATTAAATGTTCTTATCCATTTGGGTATTTATTCATAAATTTTGCTCTCAGTATTAAGTCACCTTTTGGTGTGTATATCATTATGTGTGTGTGTATATATATGTATATGTGCATATATATATGTATATAATAGTCTACGAGAGTATGTTTGTATTTCTGACCACATTAAGTGCTGCATGTTCATAGAAGCATCCTTTAAAAGTCAGACATCAAGACTACTTGAGTGTGAAACAGTGCTAACATAAAATTTTTCAAAAGCTTCCACATTAAATAAAAATACATCCTATAATTCTGGTATAGCAAAGAATGTTTCTATGTATAAAATTTCCCGAAAGTCCAGGTTGTTACACAACATATGAAATGTTATTAGTAGAAAAGACCATAAAAAAGCAAATAGATTTATTAATAAATAGCCATAATGAAAATAACACTATGTTGTAATTCACTCAGTGACATATTGACACAGTTCCCAAAAAGTAAGATGATATTTTCTCTGATGTTTTTCATGAATATGTTTTTTACAAGGTGAATGACTTATAATATCAACATATATGTGCAGTGACCACAAAAATACTTCTACATGACTGTTTACATCAGCTTTATTCATAATAGCTAAAAGTGAAAATATTTCAGGTTTTCATCAATAGGAGAATGGATAAACAGATTACTATTAATTAATTAAAAAGAAGATAGGGATATGCACAACATAAATGAATTCCAAAAATAATATGCTAATTGAAAAAATCTTAGATAAAAGACTACAAAATGTGTGATTTCCATTTATGTGAAGTCTACAAATAGGCAAAACTAACGTAGGTTGAAAAAATATTCAAAGGAATAGTTGTCTTTGGAGATGTGGAAGGTGAAATTGACTGGGAAGGAATATGAGTGTGCTTTCTGGGGTAGTGGCAATGCTCTATCATGTTTAGTGTTTGGGTTACATACCTGTATGCATTGTGAAAACTCACTTAAAGGACCACTTAAGATTTGCACATCTCAATGAATGTAAATTTTGCCTAAAATATCTAAAAAAAATTTGAAATCTAATGATAATATGTATCCAAATGTGTTTAGGATCAAGTTCATTCATGTTTTCAATTTTGAAATGCATTAAAAAATTGATGAGTGATAGAAAAATGATAGATGGATACGTATGTGATAAAGCCATGTTGCATACTAGTAACGATATCACTTAGATGAGAATATGGATGTTAACTGTATGATTGTTTCTCACTTTTTAATGTTTAAAAATTCTATAATAATATGTTGATAAAATAAACATGACTAAAAACAGCTTTTTTCTACATAATTGAATTGGTCAGGCTACTGAGAAGCCAGGGATGGGAGGATTTTAAAGCAGGGTGAGATAAGCAGGGGATAAAAGAAGAAAGACATCAAGCATAAAGCAATGTATGTGTATGAGTAGTACTGTTAGTGGAAGGGAGCTTCGGATCTGGGGTGGTGAGTGGTAAAATATGATAAAGTTTAGAAGTATACTGGCAAGAAATTTTTGATGGAAAGAAAATAGGAAAAACCTGCCAGTTAAATTAGGTGATGAAGAATAGTTTTGTCATGGGCAAAGAATATTAGTCCTTACCTGGGGAATGGGGATCTAATGAAGGTTTTTATTGTATTTTATTTATATTTATATTTTGTATTTTAATGATCATGCTAAAAGTCATGATAAATTAATTTTATAGTAGATAGAGAGCTGGGTGGATGGGACTGGAGAGAGACTGGAGATAGGGAGATCACTGTCTAACGTATTTCTGTGTTGTAAGAACAAGTAAATCCATTTAAGAAGCACATGTTTTATCCCAGGACTACAGGGCTGAGGTGATAAAGTTTCAACTAAGGTAGTAGAAATGCTGATGTAAATCAGACAGCCCTTGATAACTGATGAGCTACAGAGGGCAGAGCAAATCTGATAACTGAAGTCTGAAGCCAAGTTAGATAGAAATATTGCTGATAGGGTATATCCCAGATAGTATATTAATAGTTCTCTGACAGTAGGAAACATAATGACCTTGTATTGAATTATAGAACTTTTATTTGACGTTTATACAACATATTATGGCCTAGAAATACTTACTTACAGAAAAAAAAAGATTTATTTATTTTGTGTCTAAAAGTTGCTTTTGTTAAGTGAACATTATGTTAAGTGAACTAAACCAGTCACAGAAAGACAAATACAGAATGATCTCACTTTTGCATAGGAGCTAAAAAAGTCAAACTCATAGAAGCAGAGAGTAGAATGGTGGTTATTAGGAGCTGAGAATCTAGTGGTGAAGACTGGAGAAATGTTGGTCAAGGAACACAAAATTTTAGTCAGGAAAAAGGAATAAGTTAGAGATCAATTATATAATAGATCTCTATGACATGACTATAGTTAATAACAATGTATTGTCTATTTGAAAATTGGTGAGATCATGCCTGTAATCCCGGCACTTTGGGAGGCCAAGGCAGGCAGATCACTTGATGTCAGGAGTTGAAGACCAGCCTGGCCAACAGGGTAAAATTTTGTGTCCACTAAAAACACAAAAAAACCCATAGTGGTGGGCACCTGTAATCCCAGCTACTCAGGAGTCTGAGGCAGGAGAATCGCTTGAACCTGGGAGGCAGAGGTTGCAGTTAGCCAAGATCCTGCCGTTGCACTCCAGCCTAGGCAACAAGAGCAAAACTGTCTCAAAGAAAGAAAGAAAGAAAGAAATGCTGAGAGTAGATTTTAGCTGTTCTCAGCAGGGAAAAATATTTGAGGCAATTTATATGTTAATTATCTTGATTGAGCCATTCCACAATATATACATATTCAAAGTATCATGTTTTAAACCTTAAATATATAAAACCCTTATTTTTAAATTGAAAAATAAATAAAAGTTGTTTTTTTCATTAAATAATGTGTTCTTTTAAGAGAATATATGGCTGTGAAATTTAAATTTTATAAACGAGTGTTTAGGATACTTATAGTAAGATTTTTATTTTAATAAGAATATATTAATTGAGACCTTTATAAACTTGTATTCATTTTCTGGACATCCATTTTCTAGACAAATGAATTTTGTCTAGAAAAATTTTCTGGACATTCATATGTACATTTTTGGACATTTAAAGATACTAATTTCATGGTTCTTCATGCTTATAATTAGAATAAAATTTTGAAATGTGGGCTGAATTTTAATGTAATATGTTACGTTAGATTTTGAAAACATGTTATTAAAAGGTAAATCTCAATGGAAATTAATAAAACAGAGTTTGAAAATAAGGTAAAATTATAATATATTTATAATTTTGGTATATAAAATTAATTTATAAAACATGAAATGGAAATATAATAGAGCATATTTAATTTTGTCAATTATATAATTTCTTATATTTCAAATATGTTTTCTAAAATCATAAGATAAGGTTTATTTAGCTGGCCTGAGATTTTTTCCTTCACACACTGCACTTGAGAACTGATTCTAATCTTCAGTAAAATTCTAAATAAAAATAATATAATAAGAATTAATGTATGTCAAGTATTTAGCAGGCCTTTTAAAAAAGTCATTCTTAGTGAGTGTCAGGGCATGGTGGCTCACGCCTGTAATCCCAGCCCTTTGGGAAGCCAAGGCGGGTGGATCATGAGGTCAGGAGATAGAGACCATCCTGGCCAACATGGTGAAACCCCGTCTCTACAGAAAATACGAAAATTAGCTGGGTGTGGTGGTGCATGGCTGTAATCCCAGCTACTCGGGAGGCTGAGGTAGGGGAATCTCGTGAACCCCAGGAGTCAGAGGTTTCAGTGAGCCAAGATCGTGCCACTGCACTCCAGCCTGGCGACAGAGCGAGACCCTGTCTCAAAAAAAAAAAAAAAAAAAAAAAGTTATTCTTAGCACATCTCATCATTAACAGGTTAAATGTGAGCAAAAGAGCAGAAGAAATAATACAAATTTTGGAATTACACACAATCCTGATTAAAACTCTACTTACTAAATGGTAGAAACTAAAAAAGTTTCTTAATCTCTTCAAATTCAAAATGAGCTTGGAAAATACTCTCAAGATAAGTTTGTTGTTGGAAGTAAATAAAATTTTGTATATGGTGGTGTTTGGAAGAAGGTATTTGTAATATATGTCATTGATGTGAAAATGGCAGATAGGATACAGGACTAACTTGCAGCTCCCACTTGGATGGACAGAACAGCATGAGGAGACTCACATAATGAATTTTTGCTTGAAGAACTAATGCAGGAACATAGCAGGAAAACCAAAGGAATTCACAGACCCTTTGAAAGAAGTGGCTTGCCACAGCACACTCCATGAACAGCTAGAAAACTGTGAGTGCCCAAAATGTGAGAGGGGAAAGTCAGCCTCCAAGTACATATGCTCACCTCACTGAGGGAACCTGAAAATCCAGATCACAAAGGAAGTATTTAACCTTATCTAGAGCTGAAACAAATGTAGAGAGCCAAGTGAAATATAAAAATAGAAGAGGAAGTAGGATGAGCCCTGTAGGCACTCTCAGTACCCAGAGAAACCATTTCTAACTTTATCTCACAGGGGTTCTTGGGGAGGGAAGCCAGTGGAATTGGGAAAGGACCACAGGGAGAAGGAAACCTCCAGTTGAACTTTCTAATAATTTTGACTGAACACCAGTATTCCTGGGTACAATCCAGGGCGGAGTGCAAATGGGAAGTACAGGCCATAGGAACACAGAGGCTAAAGCAAGTGGGGAGGGGTGAGGCCTAAAAACCTTGCTTACTTTCTCAGCAGGGAGGTTTGCAGCCTGGGGCAAGATCTCAGCCCTGCTTATCAGCTGCCTGGATATAAACTCCAGGCTGATGCTGGGACAAGGTGGGAATAAGGCTGGCCTTGCTGGCTGTGTAGGACCTGGGTGAGGCCTGTCATTGCCAGCTTTCCACCACTTCCCTGGCAACCTGTATGACGCAGCAGAAGCAGCCATAATCCCCCTGGGAAAGTAACTCCATTGGCCAGAGAACCACACCTCCATCCCCCACAGTGGCCACAGCAAGCCCTGCCCAAGGAGAGTCTGAGCTCAGATATGCCTAACCCTGCACCCACCAAGCCTTTCTCTACCTGCTTTGGTAGTCAAAATGAAAGACGTAATCTCTTAGGAGCTCTAAGGCCTTGCCCATTGCCTGAGAAACCCAAAGTATACTTATCCAAGAAATCTTAGGGCAAGCTTATATCAGCTGATGCTCTCTTGAAAGTTCCACCTCCTGGCTGGAGGCCAAGAAACTGCTAGCACAACCAGCATTAGAGGAAACCAGCACACTAAACACAACTACAACCAAGGACCCTCACACAATTCACTTCACTCCCCTACTACCTCCGCTGTTGTGTATGGCTGAGAGACCTGAAGACAGATCACATTACAGGATCCACAGACACTCCCCAGTACCACCCCAGAGTACAGTAGCTCTGCTGGGTGGCTAGACCCAGAAGAGCAAAAACAATCACTGCAGTCCAGCTCTCAGGAAGCTCCATCCAAAGGGGAAAGAGGAGAGCACCACATCAAGGAATCACTGTGCAGGACAAAATAATCTGAACGCAGCCCTTAAGCCCCAGATCTTTCCTCTGACATAGTCTATCCAAATAAGAAGGAACCAGAAAAACAATTTTAGTAATATGACAAAGCAAGGAGCTATAACACCATCAGAAGATCACACTAGCTCACCAACAATGGATCCAAACCAAGAAGAAATCTCTGAATTTCCAGAAAAAGAATTCAGAAGGTTGGTTATTAAGCTACTCAACAAGGCGCCAGAGAAAGGTGAAAAACAAGGTAAAAAAATTAAAGAGCTGTGAGGCAAAGCATCAGATAACCTATAAAGAAAAACCTATCAAATTAACATCAGATGTCTCAACAGAAACCCTACAAGCTAGAAACTATTGGGGTCTTATCTTTAGCCTCCTTAAACAAAACAATTATCGACCAAGAATTTTGTATCCAGTGAAACTAAGCTTCATAAATGAAGAAAAGATATAATAATATTTAGACAAAGAAATGCTGAGAGAATTTGGCACTGCCAAGCCAGCACTACAAGAACTGCTAAAAGGAGTTCTAAATCTTGAAACAAAACCTCAAAATACACCAAAATAGAACCTCCTTAAAGCATAAATTTCACCAGGCTTATAAAACAATAATACAGTGGGAAAAAAAAAGAAGGTATTCAGGCAAAAACTACCATGATAAAAAGAATAGTACCTCACATCTCAATATTAACATTGAATGTAAATGGCCTAAATGCCCCACATAAAAAATACGGAATGGATAATAATTCACCAACCAAGTATCTGCTATCTTCAAGAGACTCACTTAATACATAAAGACTCACATAAATTTAAGGTAAATGAGTGGAAAAAGATATTCCATGCAAATGGACACCAAAAGTGAACAGGAGTAGCTATTCTTATATCAGACAAACAGACTTTAAAGCAATGACAGTTTAAAAAGGTAAAGAGGGACATTAAGTAATGATAAAAGGACTTGTCCACCAGGAAAATATCACAATCTTAAATATACATGCACTTAACACTGGAGGTCCCAAATTTATAAAACAATTACTACTAGACCTAAGAAATGATATAGATGGCAACACAATAATAGTAGGGAACTTTAATACTCCACTGACAGCACTAGACCGTCATCAAGACAGAAAGTCAACAAAGAAACAATGGACTTAAACTATACCCTGGAACAAATGGACTTAACAGATATTTAGAGAACATTCTACCCAACAGCTGCAGAATATACATTCTATTCATCAGCACATGGAACATTCTCCAAGATAGACTGTATGACAACCCACAAAACAAGTCTTATCAAATTTAAGAAAACTGAAATTATATCAAGTACTCTCTCAGACCACAGTGGAATAAAATTGGAAATCAACTCCAAAACAAACCCTCAAAATCATGCACATAGATGGAAGTTAAGTAATCTGATCCTGAATGATTGTTGGGTCAACAGTGAAGTCAAGATAGAAATTTTAAAAATTATATAAACTGAATGATAATAGTGAAACAACTTATTAAAACTTTTGGGATACAGCAAAATCAATGATAAAAGGAAAGTTCATAGTACTAAATGCCTACATCAAAAAGTCTAAAGAGCACAAACAGACAATCAAAGATCACACTTCAAGGAGCTAGAGAAACAAGAACAAATCAAACCCAAACCCAGTAGAAGAAAAAAAAAATAACAAAGATCAGAGCAGAACTAAATAAAATTGAGAAAGAAAATACAATAGATAAGTAAAACAAAAAGCTGGTTCTTTGAAAAGATAAACATAACTCATAGACCATTAGTGAGATTAACCAAGAAAAGAAGAGAGAAGATCAAAATAGGCTCAATTAGAAATGAAACAGGAGATATTACAACTGATAACACAGAAATAGAAAAGATCAGACAGGACTACTATGATCACCTTTACATGCACAAGCTAGAAAAGCTAGCAGATTTGGATAAATTCCTGGAAATATACCACTGTCCTATATTAAACCAGGAAGAAATAGAAACTCTGAACAGACCAATAACAAGGAGCAAGATTGAAATGGTAATTAAAAAAAGTGTCAAGAAAACAGAAGTCCAGGACCCAGTGGATTCACAGCTGAATTATATCAGATATTCAAGGAAGAATTGGTACCAATTCTATTGAAACTATTCCAAAAGATAGAGAAGGAGAGAATCCTCTGTAAATCATTCTATGAAACTGCTATCACCCTAATACCAAAACCAGGAAAGGACATAATAAAAAAGAAAACTACAGACAAATGTCCCTAATACACATATATGCAAAAATCCTCCGCAAAATACTAGCTAAATAAATCCAACACCATATCAAAAAGATAGTCCACGATGATCAAGTTGATTTCACACCAGGGATGCATGGATGTTTTCAAATATGCAAGTCAATAGATGTGCTACACAACATAAACAGAATTAAAAACAAAAATCACATCATCATCCCAAGAGATGCAGAAAAAGCATTTAACAAAATCCAACATCCCTTTATGATTAAAACCCTCAGCAAAACTGGCATAGAGGGGACATACTTTAAGATAATAAAAGCCATCTATGGCAGACCCACAGTCAACATTATACTGGATGAGGAAAAGTTGAAAGCATTCCCCCTGAGAAGTGGAACAAGGCAAGGATGCCCATTTTTACCACTTGGATTCAACATAATACTGGACATCCTAGCCAGAACAATCGGACAAAAGAAAGAAATAAAGGGCACCAAAATTGGTAAAAAGGAAGTCAAACTGTCGCTGTTCACTGATGATATGATTGTATACCTAGAATACTCTATAAACTCACGCAAAAAGCTCCTAGATCTGATAAAAGAATTCAGTAAAGTTTCAGGATACAAAATCAATGTACACAAATCAGTAGCACCATTATACACCAACAGCGACCAAGCTGAGAATTAAATCAAGAAATCAACTCTTTTTAAAATAGCTGCCAAAAAATAATATAATATATTCAGGAATATACCTAAGCAAGGAGGTGAAAGACTCTGCATGGAAAACTACAAAACACTGCTGAAAGAAATCATTGATGACAGAAACAAATGGAAACACATCCCATGTTCATGGATGGGTAGAATCATTGGGAAAATAATCATACTGCCAAAAGCAATCTAAAAATTCAATGCAATTCCCATCAAAATATTTTCATTCTTCATAGAACTTAAAAAAAATTCTAAACCTCACGTGGAATCAAAAAAGAGCCTGCCTAGCCAAAGCAAGACTAAACAACAACAACAACAACAACAACAAATCTAAAGGCATCACGTCACCCAACTTCAAACTGTACAATAAGACTATAGCCACCAAAACAGCATGGTACTGGTATAAAAATAGGCACACAGACAAATAGAACAGAATAGAAAACCCAGCAAGAGAGCCAAATAGTTACAGCCAACTGATCTTTGACAAAGGAAACAAAAACATAGAGTGGGGAAAGGACAACCTATTCAACAAATTTTGTTGGGATAATTGGCAAGCCACATGGCAAAAAACTGGATCCTCATCTCTCACTTTATACAAAAATCAACTCAATATGAATCAAAGACTTAAATCTAAGACGTAAAGTCACTAAAAATGTAGAAGATAGACTCAGAATAATTCTTCTGAACATTGTCTTAGGCAAAGACTTTATGACCCAGAGCTCCAAAGCAAATGCAACAACAACAACAAAGATAAATAGATAGGCCTTAATTAAACTCAATAAGTTTCTGCACACCAAAGGAAATAATCAGCAGAATAAACAGACAACCCACAGAGTGGGAGAAAATCTTCACAAACTATGCATCTGATAAAGGACAAATGTCCAGAATCTACAAAGAACTCAAACATATCAGCAAGAAACAATAAATAATCCCATCAAAAAGTGGGCTAAGGACATGAATGGACAATTTTCAAAAGAACATAAATAAATAGCCAACAAACATATGAAAAAATGCTCAACATCACTAATGATCAGGGAAATGCAAATCAAAACCACAATGAATACCAGTTTACTCCTCCAAGAATGGCTATTGTCAAAAAATAAAAAAAAATAGATGTCGACAAGGATGTGGTGAAAAAGGGAACACTTTTACACTGCTGGTGGGAATGTAAACTAGTATGACCACTATATAAAAAACAGTATGGAGATTCCTTAAAAAATAAAACTAGATCCACCACTGTATCCAGCAATCCCAATACTGGATATCTACCTAGATTCAAAGAAGTCATTATATGAAAAAGACATTTGCACATATGTGTGTTTATAGCAACATAATTTGCAATTGCAAAAATATGGAACCAGCCCAAATGCCCATCAATCAATGAGTGGATAAAGAAATAATGGTATATATATATATATATATACATACATACATACATATATACTTGTTGTGTTCTATATATATATATACACACACACACATGTATACATATATATATACACACACATATATACACACACACACACACACACACATATGCCATGGAATACTACTCAACCACAAAAAGGAACTAAATAATGGCATTTGCAGCAACCTGGATGGAGTTAAAGACCATTACTCCCAGTGAAGTAACCCAGCAATGGAAAACCTAAAATCGTATGTTCTCATTTATAAGTGTGAGCTAAGCTATGAGGACACAAAGTCATAAGAACAATACAATGGACTTTGGGGACTTGAGGGGAGGGATGAAAGAGTGGAGGTTGAGGGACAAAAGACTACACATTGGGTATGGTGTACACTGCTCAGGTGATGGGTGCACCAAAATCTCAGAAATCACCACTAAAGAACTTATCTATGTAAACCAAACACACCTGTTTCCCACAAACCTATTGAAATTAAATAAATAAGTACATAAATTGGGGGGAGAAAAAATGAAATTACAATTAGTTAAATATATATATATATGTATGTATTTATGTCATTGATGTATTATCTATTACTTAAAAAAAATCAGTTACTGAGGAAAAGTATCCTAGATCCATAAAATTGTTTTCTGCTTGAAGGGTCCTATGGGAAGAGTTGTGTCGGTAACAGCAGTCTTCTAATTACACTTGGCTTTTCACATCTTCAAAATATTACAAAGGTGAATTTCACATTCACACAAAGTTTACATTGATAAATAGCATATTATACTTCAAAGTGAATTTATAATTCATAAATATATGTGAGACTTGTCCACTTTGGATATCCATTTAGATCAGTTAAATTACTTGCAATTTAAATTTAGTAGATGTTTACTGAAATTCTGCAATTGATAACAAATGTTATCACAATTAATAGTAAGTGTTTCTAAAATTAGAAAGTTTCTGTTGCCAAGTTGTCTATCATTTGAAGAAGAGAATGTATAACAGAAGAACAAATGAGTATTCAGTAATTCATACTTGTAGTTTTGAATATTTGCTAATAATCCCTCAGTTCTAAGGCATGTATCAATTCCTGTTTAGGTCCAGATTTTGAATTACACTCACTATTAGAAGTGTGGGATTTGGTCAAATTGTTAATGAATGGTCATTTACATTGTAATTAGAGATGTTCTAATTTAATACATGATATTTAAAATTTAAGGTGGGATTATTTGCATTTTAGAGATGTAGAAGTTATAACTGAAAATAGTATATTAAATTTGTGAATACTCCAAAATTAATTAACTAAGAAAATGTCAATGAGTCTACCTTACAAATATCCAAAATGTTTGAAAAATTTCAGAGTGTTAATGGTTTAGTTATAGACAAAATACCTACATTTCAAAAATTATAGGACATAAATCAAGTGAAATAATCTATGGAGAAAACTGTAGAATAAAAGAGAAAAAGGACACTTCTGACTGTTGGAGAATAGAAGACTCAGGCTGAAATGCCCTCTAATTCTAATACCAGCCCACCTGGGCAAATTACAAAAAAAATTATTTGCATTGCTCGTCTTACATGAAAATAAGAGAAATTTTCAAGGGCATAGTCAAATAGCTGAAGGAACAGTGAGGTGAAACCAGAGAGAGAGCTAAAGGAATACAAAAGCCAGCATCTCTTGTGGACAGAGGTTTCCAACAATAAGATCTGGAGCATCTGCCTTGGGCCAAACACAAGGCGGGAGAACAAGGAACCAGAGATGCTGCATTAAGCCTGAATGGTTAAAGGGGGCTGACATGGCTCTAAGTTACTGAGGCCTTTGGTTCTGGGTTGAAGCAGATTCAGGCTCATTAGAGGAAGGCATCTGCAAAATGTAGGCCCCTAAGAAGTCCCTGAGAGTAAAGAAAATTAATTATGACTTTAAAATAATATTACCTGACACAGAAGGAATCAAACTTCTGTTGTCAGAAACAACAAACAACAGATTTAGAACCCAACCTTTTAGATGTTGAAATTATTAGCCCCAGGATATAAAATAAAATGTGTAATTGTTAAGAAATAATGGACAGAATGAAAAAAAATAAGTGAAGAACATTAAAATTCATAAATAAATATATAAATCTGAAAAAATTCAAGAAGTTTCAGAAATAGACAACCTCAAAATTACAAATACACAGGGGCTTCTTTTAAACATGATGGATTAGTTTGTATCAGACAAACTGTTCCCACATGAGTAACTATAAAGCTTCAGTTCATAGTACAAAATTTAGCTGTTTTAAGACATTAGAGACTAAAAAATACAGCTAACACTTAAAAGCCTGAAGTCCCAGAAAGAGGGGACGTGAATGGAAATGAGCCTGACATTCTTTGCCATTTTTGCCTTTAGAAATGATTGATTCATAAGCAGCTCTAGGCTTAGAGACCTTGCAATGCATGTGGGCTGAGGCCTCTGGGCAGTCTGATGGGGCTGAAAAGACACAAATTGCAGCTCAGGGCAATCAAGGCAGTCAGGACCTTAGACTCCTGTCCCTCAGAAAAGAGAATGGCAGGGCAACACTGCTTGTCTTCTCTGGGCGTTTGCTGATTTCGAAGATGTACACAGCAAGAGGCAGAAATCCAGGCAGAAAATGGAAGCTAAGATGTTAACTTAGCTTATAAATAGTTGTAAGGCATAGATTTATCTCAGAACTAGGCAAAGCTAGTTCTGAGTTAAAAATGAAACAGCATTCAGGGCTCACCAAGAATGAGTGGCCCTGGTATAAACATTGAAAGCCAAACAAGAGTAAGGCAGTCCTCACAAACGCTAACTCTTTGTCTCAAATCATCCAATTCTTGTTTGGAAGAAGGCAATTTTCTGTTACTCTAAGTGTTTGCCTAAAATAAAGTAAATTATGTCTTACAAAACTTAATGTTATCCAGAGCATCTATGTATTTTCTTATGCAATATCCATCATTCCTTCAAACATTGCCAGGTGTGTTATGCTACCTACTAGATATTTACAGCAGACTTCTGAAGTATTAACGTAATTTCATTTAAAATAAAGAAAATGACAGGATTGTACCATAGGCTGTTACTACTGACCAAACAATGCTCAAGAAACTGCAAAAAAAATGCAATAATTAGAAGAGAGGTATTAATATATCAGTATTCATTATTATATATGTGATTAAATACATAAAAAATTAAATACAAAAATTTCAATTTCACTACTAAGAAGGGAAATATAAATGTAATGATGAACACTTGGGGATTGACTATACGACTCTTTATATTTTGTTATGTTAAAACTTACTCATATAAAAAGGTTTTTTAAGACAAAATTTTTTTGACAAGACAGTAAGACTGGCACTCTGTATAACTTGGTAATATTATAAATTCTTATATATTTTTGAAAAAGAAATTAGCTTATACCTCACAACGGCTTTTCTTTCCCACCCACTAATTTTTCATCTAGGTGTATATTTAAGGAAATACTCAGAGATTAGGATAAACTTTTATGTATGTGGGTGCTAATGGTGGCATTATTTATAAAAAAATTATTGAATCCCAGCAAAGTGTTTAATAATAGGGTTAAGCTCAAGTAAACTGTGACATTTCTGTGTGAATAATAATTAGTAAGCAATTTGAAATGTCTTTCAAAAATTTAATAACATAATTTCACACACACAATGTAAGTAATGATTACAAGCAACAAAAGTAACAACTTCAAGAATGTTAGTAAATCTAAATATACCTATACTTAGGTACCTAGCTATATAATGTCCGAGAGAGGAAATTGAATACAATCATAAATAGGTATATTTGTATATAAATATGTATAGATATATAGTTATACTATATATATACACATACATCTCTCTCTCTATATATATGTGTGTGTATATATATATATGTGTATATATATATGTGTGTGTGTGTGTATATATATATATATATACACATATATATATAGATCTCATATTTTTTGAAGTAAACATCAAAATCACCATCCAGATTCTGTCTTCTGGGAAAGAGACTACCCCAGATGGAAGACATTTTATTGTGTTTTAAAGAAGTTTCTAAGGCTTTCCTTCTTCAATAATAGTATATTCTAAGCTTTAGTACCTTCTCCCAGGACCAATATTGTCTTTTATGAGTGCCTATATTCATCCATGTGATGACAAACATTTTGCCCTTTTATTCTCTTGATTTGCTATGTACTTATAAAATAAATCTTATTTCTTTAGGCTTCTGCATTTTCATATTTACAGGAATTGCTCTTTTCCAAAAATAAACTATGAAAACCATGTAACAGCCATAGGATATCCTTTTGACAGACAACAAATGAGAATGTGTCATTCTCTATTGATTACATCAGTTTTTTTCCCTGCAGCTACAATTTTGAAATCTCAGTTCACAGTGATTGAAATAAGTTTTTTTTTTGTTCTGATTTATCTTAATAACAATTTTAAAAAAGATGTTGGATATTTGGTCATATTCTATTGTTGCCAATTCCAGCTTTTTAAATAAATACTTGAAATATTTTATGGTTAATTATATCATTTATTAGAAACAAACATGAAAATTACACTTTTTGCATATTATTTTTCTTGTGTACTTATTCAGGAAAATTAAGACAGACATAAGAAAATCTGAAGAGGACAAATTTTTGGAGATTTTTCCAATAACTCTAAAAACGTAAGAATAAAATCTTCAAATGCATATGTTTAGTTTTTAAACAAATAATTTATTTTCTTTTGAAGGACTAAATTAGTAAACACAATTAAACTTATAAATTATAACTTTCACCATTCTTATACTTCTTTATAATTGTCTATTTATTTATCTGGCTTCTACATGATATTCTCAACTTCTCAAAGACAGAGATTCTTTTCATAATTGAGATCCCAGCAAGAATTTGCCTTGCATTTCACATTTCTTGGCATTGAAATAGCATTCTCAATATATCCAACAAATTGTTTGGCTTGTGTTAAGTGATTCAAATCTCTTTTTTATTTTATATGAACTCTTGTACATAAGCACAAGAAATGAATAAGGAACTTAAAGATGAATAAGAAGCAGACAGCAGCTACAATTAAGGAGATATTTAATTTCTCCCTTAATCTTAAATTACAATAATTAAAGCTGAGTTTATGTCATTTTTTGTAGTATCACCATTACAATATAAAAGCTGCAACACGGTATAACACAGGATGTATAGTTATATAAATCCAGAATTAAATACCTTTGTTGTTATCCATTCCTCCTACAGCATACAAAGTTCCGACTGTAGATTTTCTGGGTTTAGTTCTCGGACTTTGCATTAAAGTTCTTCTTTCTGGCAATAGATGGTATTTCATTGCTTCTAGAATCAGCTTTTGACATTCCAGATCATTCTTAAATAATGCATGATTTTCTAGGTCAGCCAATATCTGTGAATAATACACAATAGCTGTTAATAATGTTTTCAAAGAGATGAACATTATGTCATTCCTTAAAACTAGAAGTTTAATGTCTGTGATATTATCCTTATATTGAGCAGGATGCAGGGTGTAGTAAGAATTCATTACAGTAACAAATAAAAATGTATAAAATGAATGGCTTTCAACAGAGACAGAATGGATATTATTTTTGATTCAATATTATTTATCATTTTACCACACAGAGTAAAAAAAACACTTATAGTGATCAGCTTTTCTATTCATTTTCTTTTTATGAAAGCTGTCTGAAAATCAAGTATAGTTACTTGTGTTGGCCATAAACATGTCAGGTGAAAGACATTTAATTTATTGAAAATAGACTTCAACAAATTAAGCCATTACAAGCTTACTGTAAGTGTTCATATATTTAATTTAAAATGTTTCAAGTATAGTTTAAATCTCTTTTAAATTCAAAATAACTCAATAAAGATGAAAAAATTTCTTCATAACATCTCTTTAATTATATAAGGAATTTAAAAGTTGTGTATTAGGCAAAGTAATAGTTTCCAATAGTGAAAATTTTATACCAAAATTCAGCACCCAATAGACCAATAGAGTGAGACCAGTAGTTTTAAAGTATATTGTGTCTATTTTTTGCTATAATAGGTTATTGTCTCTGCAAATTATTTTGTGTACATTTATTTGCACACATCCAAAGTATCTTTTATTTTCCTCTTTCTCTTTCGCTCTTTAGATTATTTTTCTCCTTGATTCTTTTAGTGTCTTCTTTTTTAATGGATCCTGTTTCACTTTGAGTGACAATAAAATGTGTCCCATAGATTTAGAAAATAAATAAGTAGAAAATTTAGCATTTACTCACTGAACTTTTCTTGTACATTGATAAAAAAATTGTACCACATCTGTACACAAATGTTCATTGAATGAATAAAAATGGCAGCATGTGACTAATTAAATTTAACACTATAATTATGACTTTAATTAAAATGTGTAAGCCTACCTAATATATAAAACTATAAGAGGTGCCATAAAGAGTATAGAAACACATAAGATACACAGTATAATTTTTTTTTGAGACAAACTCTCACTCTGTCACCCAGGCTGGAGTGCAGTGGTGTGATCTCGGCTCACTGCAACCTCTGCTTCCCAGGTTCAAGCAATTCTCCTGCCTCAGTCTCCTGAGTAGTTGGGATTACAGATGTGCACCACCATGCCCAACTTATTTTTGTGTTTTTAGTAGAGACAGAGTTTCACCATGTCGGCCAGGCTAGTCTCGAACTCCTGACCTCAGGTGATCCACCCATCTCTGTCTCCCAGATTGCTGGGATTACAGGTGTGAGCCACTGTGCCTGGCCCAGAACAGTTTTAATCTGAATAAGAAACATAATATTAGTTACTAGATGCTTTGGAATTACATAAGTGAAGATGATTAATTACATTCTTGGCTCAGTTTCCTTTTGTTGTATACTAATACCTTAGCTGCCTTTCTACGCACTTTTATTTTGAACATTAACTTTATATATATATATATATGTATGTATGTATGTATGTATGTATGTATGTATGTATAGAAGATCTCCAATGGAAAGTTTTGAAAGGACTACTATTTTTAGTAAATTTTTTTTTTTTTATTCACCAAAGGGACTATTTCTAACAAGGGCCCAGTGGTGTTCATAAACTTTATAATTATGTTTCTATCTATCTACAATGACTCTTGATCATCTGTGTGTCAAATATATAGTTTCTTGTATCTGAGTCTTTTCATTGCCACAGAAGGAAAATAATTAACCTCTACAGTACTAAATTTATGTATATGTAAAGCTGGCTCTCATGAATTCTCATTTTTCTTCTCTCCTTTTCACTCCTTTTGGGAAAATTTGGGATTAGTTGATCATAAAGATACTATTCTTTCATTTGGAACACACGTTAGGAATAGCTTAACTAGATAAATAGTTAAAGCATTACAAATAAAAAATAAAAATCTTTAAACTTTTTCCCCTTCAATATCACATCTCATATTCAACATAGTATTGGAAGTCTTAGTCAGAACAATCAGGAAAGAGAAAGAAATAAAAGGCCTCCAAATTGGTAAAGAAGAAGTCAAGTTTCTCCTGTTTACTGATTATATAGTCTTATATCTAGAAAAACCAAAAGACTCAACAAAAAAAACAGTAGGTTTGATAAATAAAGTTGCAGGACATGAAATCAATATACAAAAGTCAGCAGTGTTTCTTGTTTCTATATGCTAATAACAATCTAGTTGAGAAAAAAAAACAAGTAGTCCATTTTATTTACAGTGACTAAAAAGAAAACTAGGAATAAATGTAACTAAGGAAGTGAAAGATCTCTACAGGGAAAATTACAAAACACTAATGAAAGAAATTGAAGATAACACAAACAAATAAAAAAAATCCCATGCTCACAGATCAGAAGAATTAATATCATTAAAATGACCGCATTGCTCAAATCATTCTATAGGCTAAACACAATCTCTTTCAAATTACCAAAGTCATTTTTTCACAGAATTGGATAAACAATTCTAAAATATATATAAAACATCAAACCAAAAAAGAGCCCAAATGTCAAAGCAATCCTGATCAAAAAGAACAAAACTGGAGGTATCACATTACCTGACTTAACCCAAGCAGCACGGTATTTCTCTAAAGATAGATATATAGGCCAATGGAACAGAATAGAGAGGCCAGAAATAAAGCCACGTATTTACTGCTAACTGATCTTTAAGAAAGTCAACAAGAACTTACACTTGGGAAAGGACACCCTCTTCAATAAATGGTGCTGGGAAAATTGGATAGCCACATGCAGAAGAATGAAACTAGACTCCTATCTGTCACCATATACAAAAATCAACCCAAAATGAATTAAATACACAAATGTAAGTTGCAAAACTATTAATATAAAAACACTAGAAGAAAACCTAGAGAAAGTTCTCATAAAGAGTGGTCTAAGCAAAGGATTTATGACTAAGACATCAAAAGCACAGGCAACAACAATAAAAAGACAAATGGGACTATATCAAATTAAAAAGCTTCTGCACAACAAAGGAAAAAAATCAACAAAGTGAAAAGAAAATCTGCTTAATGGGAGAAATATTAGCAAATTATTTATGCAAGAGAGGACAAATACGCAGAATGTACAGGAAACAAAAAACAACTCAACAAGAAAAAACTAATCCCATTAAAAAGTGGGCGAAGGACATGACTAGGTATTTCTCTAAAGAAAACATACAAATGGCCCAACAGGTATATGCTAAAATGCTCAACATCATTAATCATCAGAGAAATATAAATCAAAACCATAATGAAATACTATCTTATCCCAGTCAGAATGACTATTTAAGAAGACAAAAAATAACATGATGGTGTGAATGAGGAGAAAATGAAACTTACATAGTGTTTGTTGGAAGGTAAACTAGTAAAGCCACTATGGAAAACAATGTGGAGATTTCTCAAAAAACTAAAAGTAGAATTACCATTTGATCCAGCAATTCTACTACTGGATATCTACCCAAAGGAAAAGAAATCAGTATATCAAAGGATACTTGCATTCACATGTTTATTGCAGCACTATTTATAATAGCAAAGATATGGAATCAACCTACGTGCCCATCAATGGGTTAATGAATAAAGAAAATGTGGTATATATACACAATAGAATGCTACTTGGCCATAAGAAAGAATAAAATCATGCCATTTATAGCAACATGTATGGAACTGGAGGTCATTATCTTAAGTGAAATAAGCCAGGCACTAAAAGACAAATATCACATGTTCTCACTTTTATGTGGGAGTTAAGAAAATTCATTATATGGAGGTAGAGAGTTGAAAGACAGATAACAGAGACTGTAAAGGGTGAGTGGGAGATATGGAGAACAAGGAAGCAAACTGAGTTAAAGGGTAAAACTCTCAGTAAGATAGAAGGATTAAATTCAATGTATGATAGCAGAGTAGGGTGACTATACCTAACAAAAATGTATTGTTCTCAGGTGACAGACACGCCAAATACCCTGCCTTGATCACAACACACTATATGCACGTAACAAAATTTCTCATGTACTTCATAAATTTGTACAAATAAGCAAAAGACAAAAAAATAGAAAAAAAATTAGAAATGTACTCCTTTTTCATGTTTCTTCTTGCAAAATTGTAACAGAATAAAAAAGTGAATGCAAGAGTTTGGAAACAGCTTAGGTTTTAGAAAAGTAGACTCATGACATAGATTTAAATATCTTTAAATTTTGGCATATGAATGCAGAGAATAATTTATATTAAAACGAGTTTCTATGCTATCCCTAGTATTTTGATGGCTCCTTTAACTAATTAGGGTGGATTAATTTTAGCTTACAAGTAACCCTATGCCTTCTTGACTTCAGTACCATGTAAAAATAATTTTAGCATAGTATTTTTACATAAATAGGACTTGGGTTTAATTTCTCATATTTTACACTTAAAAATTATATGTTAGTGGTACAGTAAGTTATAAGTAATTTTAAAAATGATTTAGGATGGCCAAAGTACAAGATTGATTAAATGAAATTTCAATAAGTGGTATCTTCTACTGAGGTTTAATCTTGTGAATTCTTGTACAGCTACAAATCAGAAAAGGCTTCCTGTGTTAGCTTAGACTTTTTTTTTATACTTTAAGTTCTAGGGTACATGTGCACAATGTGGAGGTTTGTTACATATGTACACATGTGCCATGTTGGTGTGCTGCACCCATTAACTCGTCATTTACATTTACTTGGACAACTTTAAGGCAATAGACTAATGTTATTGATTAATTAATGATAATTTGTGAATAACTTTTCAATTTCTAAGAAAATGTTACAAACAAATACATGCAAAGATAGATAAGGATTATATCAAATTTTATAAATAATGGATAATTATAAAAGAAAAAATAAATTCTATAAAAATAAAGTATTGAAAGATCATCAACTCTATGTGCCTAGGTTTATAATATTTTAAAGTAATAAATTTAAAGAAATACAATGTTCAATGCCCATAGATGTACACATAAAAATATATTATGAATTATTTATTTCAATATATGACATGGCAAATAAAAATAAATAAGAATAAAATAAAATGAAAATAAAATGTGTCTTGTATTTAATAAAATGACCAAGGTATGCTGTATTCAAATACTATTTTCCTTTTTATGAATAAAATATTGTGTAAAATGTAACTTTGGCCTACTCCTACTCATTTTGACAAACTAAATTACTTATAACCACTGTAACCTATTGTTGTATATTTTTAAATTATTACTTGTAACAGTTTCTTGCTTATAAACACCATAGCTTGTGTTTGCATTTCGTCTCTGACAACTCTAATGACTTCATCTAAACCTCATTACCTTTAAAGGCCCTACCTCCTAATAGCATTACTGTGGGGGTTAGGCCAACCACATGTGAGTTTGGGTAGGACAGAAATATCAGCCCATAACAGATCCTACTAGGTACAATTTGATCATAATTTTATTATGAGTACTACCCAGCTTCCTATTGCCAGTTTGTTATAAAATGTTCATTTTCTGAGTAATTTGATTCAAGCAATAAGGTTTTTCTTCTGGGTTTTTTATTTATTTATTTATTTATTAAGACAACAAACATCACAGTATATAAGAACCAGAAATCTAAATCCCTTCACTTCATATGTACAAAAGAAATTTCTGTTTTCTTAGCACACATCTTGGAACTGGTACAGGACATGCTTCTTTGTTCCTATGTCAATTTATGGTGAAAACTAAAAAAAAATAAGTATTCGATCCAGGAAATATTTGCTCCCGCAGGATGAGACATCTGTGAACCCACAAAAATAGCTAGCAAGACTAGAACTTGCCCTTCAACACTTGCTTCAAGAGCCTAACCTTGCTGTGCACACTAATCCTAAGCTATTATGATATAAACTGTACATAAGCCCCACCATTTTACCACAGTGCAAAGGCTGCTTTAAAATAACCCAGGCCAAGCTCTGGAATCATAAATATCTTCTTGTGACTTTTTTCTATAGAGGATACACCAAGGCTTTGTATAGGTAGTGTTCTTTCATAGTGGAATAGGTATAATAAAGTCTGCTTGCTTATTACAAAACATATTTTGTTGTCTTATAGGAATTCAACACTGAACACATTTCACCAATAATAGCTACAAATAAATTGCAAATTCAATGAATGTACTTCTCAGAGAAGAAAATCAAATAGAATGAAAACTTACCCACTTTGTCATTCTGCTGTACATTTTAGTGTTACAAAAATATGTTTCAACTATTTATATTATGCAAAAAATTTAGCAGAAATAAAAGTTAGCTAGTTTTTGGTATTGTTTACTCTGTGAGCAATTTCAACTTAAATATGAAACCATATTATATAGTTGAAATTGCAAGTATCTATTATTTTATTTCATGTGTATTGTTTCTATATACCTGACAAAATTTCAAGTACATTTTATAAACACACAAAAAATGAGATACTGTATTTCTATAACTTATACTAGCACTTGCTCTTTGGAAAATGATGATAAAATTTAATACTAACATGAATATTTCTATGAAGGTAATGAACAAAATATCTTGAAATCATGTGGAGCATCAAGGTAAAACATAACTAAGTGGAGTTACGATGGAATACTCTGTTTCTGTTTTAAATTCTCATTTCTAATATTACTGCTTCAAGATCCTATGGGCTCAGAGATGTCGATATTTGAAAAAAAATAGATCTTAAAAAGTCAATATTTGAGGTTTGCCTTGTTAAATGTAGTAAACTATAATATAATAGTTTACTATAATACATACAGGAAAATGTCTCTTTGCAAGAAAAATAAAATCATTAATAAGTTGCTTTATAACCTAATTAGGTAACCTGGAGATAATAATATACTTCTATCATACAAGACAACAAACTAAATAACAAGTTTTTAAAATCCTGTTCTATGCTATCCAAACGAATTAAACATTTCCAGTGTTCTGGTTTATGTATATACAAATTTTAGGATAAAAGATACAGAGCATAAGACTTTTCCACAGGCAATATGTTCTTTCGTTAACAACTCTGTCAGCTAGGTGGTCACTTTGCAGATATGCCCTATCTCCTTATAACCTTGTCAGTTTTCTTTGTGATTAAATAATAACTGATGCGTTATAGGGTAACCCAGTAGCTTCAGAATCAAACATGACCAGGAAATATATAGGATAAACTCACACAATTTTCAGAATTTACCAATATGAAAAATCGGAATAATTTAGCCATTTATAGCTAGAACTTTTGACAACGAATTTGTTAGAGCATTCCAGCTGCCAGAAATGTCATGAACTTTTAATTAGAATAAGTATTTTCCCTTCAGTTACCTGTTTGAAAGCATTATTTTCTTTTCACATACTCTTCTAAAGTTCTATTGGCTTTATTAACAAGTTCATTTTGGTTAGAAAAAAATATATATATGAATAAATACATTTGTTAAAATATTATTCATTGTAAATAACCATTAAATTTGTTACTATAATACACCATAATTTACTTGTTGATGGTTTCATACATTGAACCACATGATCAAAATAGTCACATGTTTAGCAACATTAAAGCATTGCTGAGTGTTTTAATCCTGTGTGCACACTCTTCAAATTGCAGCTTTCCAAGAGTATTATATGATTTTATTTGAAATGTTTGTAATAATACATAAATTATGATGCTAAAGGTATTTCAAATAATCTTCTGAAAGTATTGCTTTATAAAAATAGGATGCATCATTCAAGTATCTAGATTTTGCAGTGTTTTTGCAATCTCTCAAACAAAAAATAGAATCAATTTTCATGTCTTTTTAAAAAATTGTCTTCTTTCTGTAAAAATTATCTAATGTGTCAAGAAAAATACCCTCTTGTCTAGAATCCTTGTCATGATTCTCTGCACTATATTGCCTGTATAGATGCTGCTTGATATTGTAAATAACTTTTACAATACTATCATAAGTAAACAAAACAAGATACATGAATTTATTCTTGCTGGATGACCTACTTTTATTACATAAATGACATACACTCTAATTTTATAGTAAAAGCCAGAAAACATTTACATTATAAAAACTTGTATTACAGACAACCTTCTAAAATATCATTTAAGAAATATAAATTATAGCAACACCCTACTATACAGTTCACATCCAGAAATAAGAAAAGACCTACATCATAAGCTATTCCTTAAGTTAGAGTAATACTGCATTAGCAAAAAAAAAAAAAAAAAAAAAAACATAATTTAAAGGCAGGAAAATAGGAGATGTACCAAGCGCAGCAATCACATCTATACCTTTCATCTGGTCATGGAGTCCACTGCAAAATGGAAGGCAATATTGAATAAATACTTAAAGAAAAATAAGTTTAAACATATTATAGACCAAAGAAAAAGTACTAACTCTTCTAAAACTATATCCTTGGGCTATATTATGAAAACATATATAGTTATGAAAACACTCTCACATTCATGATAAAGTGACAAAATTTCATGTACTTCATCTTATTTCATAATATCTCAAAATTTTGTTTTCCTACTGGATCTTGTGCTAAAAATAAACTCAGAATTTGAATCTATAAAACAAAATTGATTCCTATTAGAAGTGACAGTCCTTAGAGAATAAATGACAGTTTCATAGCTTGCCTTTCAAGTTTTGTGCATGACAAAATGAAAGCCATGAATAATAAAATATTATCTCATAAGCTGCAGAAAAATTTTTATTTCAATGTCTTATAAATATATCTAATACAAATAAAATAATTTCAGGTATTTGCATTAAAGCAGTCTAAGACATTCCACAGGGAAACAATGATCATATTCAGTGCTAAATGAACCCTGAGCCTATTTAAGGTGCTGGTGAAAGGAAAGAGTTCAGTCATCACAGAACTTTCCAGGAACACAATAAATAGTGAGCCGTGGCTAGGACTGTCAAACTGTACAAGCGAAAACAGAAAGTGCCTCATACCTAGAGAGCTTTGTTTGACCCTTCCCCACCTTTCAGACTTTATTTATGTTCAAAGACATACAGAGAGAAAAATGGACAATTATGCTGGAAACTTGGCAGTATGAGACAGTTTGTTCACCAAAGCTCGTAGCACTTCATTAGTGACTATTTGAGTAGATGTGATTGCCAACAGCCTTAGTTTCCACAAGTGGGACTAACTCTACCATTGTCAATATCAGCCTGCAGCCTGAAAGAGTATACCACCCAGGAGTAGATAGTTCCTCCTCTTACATTTAAAGTCCCTTTTAGCTTCAGTTAAAAATAATTTTGGCAAAGAATTGAATCTTGAAATTTTAAGAGACTGTAGTATTTCCCAATCCATCCTACTGACATAACTACTATTCTGGCCAAATTATTTAAGAATATTATTTATATTTAAAAATGAAAGAAAAGTAGATACAACAGAGCATTCCAAATCATTTTCCATGGCTGTCACTTCAAAATGAAAACACAAATTAATGACATGCTAAAACTTACATCAGATACATTTGAATGATTCCTCCTCAAGCATTTGAGGAAACAAGAAAAAAATGCATATGAAATAAGTAGCAGGTTCATTAATTTTATTCTGAATACAGAAATAGTTGATTGCCTTAACATGAATAATAATTGGCCAAGCTGACAGTATAAGTACAGAAGAATAATGACATAATCAAAATAAGTAGAGCTCACAAAATTAACCGAAATGAAAGTTCTTATTAGCAACAAGTAAAATGGGTTTTGTGATGCTATAATTTTTGATTAACTTTTATTTATTTAACATGGGTTTACTGTTCCATATTTTGAAAGCTCAGAATTTCTAAAAGTAAAATAAGTTAACCTTCCACCCTGTATGAACATCGCCTTCATCCTTAATGATTTAATTGCATCCGATTTGGGCTCAGCACTTTTCATTCCTTCATTCCTTCCTTCATTCATTCATCAAATATTTAGTCAGTGCTTATTTTGTCCAAGGTGCTATAATAGGTCTCGAATAACATCATTTTCACTCACCACTAATCTATTTTACTCAAGTCCAACCTTCTCTCTGTTCCCCTAAAACATCTTAATTCTTTCATGTTTAGGCTATATTTAAGAGTATACATTAGTTTGTTATTGTTTGTAAGACATTATTCAACAAATTTAGATGAGTATGCCAAAAATTCTACAATATAACTCTTTTTAATCTATAGTCACTTTCCCCAATACCCTGAAGCACGTTATTCTACATTTTATATGTTAGCTCTTCTGATCTCTTTCTTCTCATTGGAACAGATCATGCTGTATTCTTAAGCCAAGCACATTTATGCTCTCTTTCTCTCTCTCTCTATCTTACTGTCCTTAATGCCTTTTTCCTCTGGGGCTTCTATTAAAATATGACCCGAATCTTCAGAGTCTAGTTGAAGGTCCTATTACTTTCATGAAGATTTACTTCATCACTCAGGTCACAGTCAACATTTAGTTTTATCAGTCATATCAGATTTTGAACAGTTACCATATATGTAGTCACTTAAAGGCTTAAAAATATGCTAAATTATAAACTTGCAGAAAATCAGAAAAAAAAATCTGCTATTTATTGTTGGTACCACTAACAGAGCTATAGGCCCCATGATTTGCTCAAGAACTATTTAAGTGATTGATTATTTACTGTCATTCTTGAATCTATTAATTTATTTTAAATAATTTATTCATTACCAAAGTTTGAAAATATATAATTCATAAGCAGAAATATGTTCAATATCACATCTCAAATTCAATGCATACGTTAATAATAATTATAAATGTTTATGTCTATTAGAAACCTCTTTGCTAAACAATCAACCAAATATCTATATTACTAAATGATTTATTCCAGACCCAGTTGATAGCATGTTTATTTTCAGTCACATTCGATAGCAAAAATCCATTACAGAAATAATTTGGGCTCATGGACATCACTGCAAGGTGATTTGACCCTTAACTAGGAAACATTAACCTGAATATTCCACTAACAATTCAAACTCATATATTTAAATCTGAACTTATTTTTCCCATTACTCTTCTTCCTGTAATTGACTTTGTCTTCTATTTTTATTGATGATTTAGGGTACTTAATTACCTGCACTTCACTTTTAAGCTTCAACTATTTAAGCTACTTCAAACTTTTTTTTGAGAATATGATATATGAATACATATTTCCAAAATTTGTTTTCCTTCCTGAGATCCCTGGCTCATTGATAATTCCACTTAGCAAAGTTCTTTATCTCTTTGGTCAACCTCACATCCAAACAGTCACCAAATACAGTTGATTACTATAATATTGTCTAGGACCCTTCCATTTCACTACTCCCAAATACTGTTGATTACTATGAAACTGTCTACGACCCTTCCATTTCATTACTTGCTTTCCATTCCAAAAGCCACTTCCCTAGTTGAAATTCTCATTAACACTTTTCCAAATTTTTGAGAAAGATCCATCACTTAAATTCTTATCTTTGATACCAGCTATCATATACAGAATTCAAACTACTCCCACAGCGTCCTAAAACATACACATTGATCATTCACTGTCCTGCTGTCTTGTTTTAATTCCATGTACTACAACTGAAAGTATTTCCTAATGTAACTTAAAGCACCTTGTTTAGGCTCATTTGTCACTGTGCCTCCAGATCAACCTTCTACATTGTCAAGGCTGTTCTATACATTATCCTTCACGAGAACAATTTTCGCACTTTGTCTTTAATGTGGCTTTTTTCTTCTTTTGAACTATCTGACTGACTCCTAGTTTTACCCTGTGTTTCTAAATAGCGTTTGAAGGTTATCTTTATTTTATCTATAAACAAGTCTCCACTGGACTAGGCCTTATCTTCAACATGTTCTGTAATTTCTTCAATTCACAATTTATAACTGTATTGTTTATACTTAGTAGTCACAACTGAAAAACATACATATATACTTTTATTTTTTATGCTTTTATAGGTAGCTGTCTCTTTTTTAAGTACTGTGTTTACTTAAATTTTATGCTTGAAATTCAAAGAGTATATTTTTATAAAATTCTGTTATTTATAATTACATTTTGCAAGAAGATAATTAGAAAAGGATATATTCAAACACATGCAGATTTATCATGAGAAACTACTACGCTTCCTTTAGTTCTTTTACAAAATTATTTCTGACTGGGCAACACAGACTATAGGAATTTGTAGGTCATCTTTGCAAACTCACTGAGGAGCCTGATGCAGACTCAAAATCAAAAGAAAGTACGTTGCACATTCATGCTTTTTGAGGACAGTATGAGTTTTTTGAAAGAAACACTTACTTGATCTGTATCACTGGATTAATTGGAGACATTTTTGACTTTAGAGTTGCATGAAGTAATAACTTTCAACATGTTAAATATGTATTGAGCTATTAACATAGCATTTGATACATATTTTTGATGCATCAATACAATTAATCTTAGAATAAAAGATATTAATAGACATTGGTATTTCCCTTGCTCCTTCCTTTTCTGGACTCCTCTCTCTTTCTAAATATGTCTAGCATGCTCCTATGTCCCTGTTCTCTATTATAGACCTTTCCTGTCCCAGACAAGCTCCCAAGTTATCATTTACAGTAAGTTTCTGGATCATCCTTTCTTGCAGAACTCATCTATCTGCAACTCATGAAGACTAAGATGATCATTATCATTAAGAAAAAAATCTTGAAAACATTTACCTACTAGTAGTCAGATAGTTTTACTAATTAATAGTTTGTAGAAATAACTGCATTTCAATACTTGAAATTATTACTTGAAATTGATGAACTGTATTAGCTAAATGGGGTCTTAAATCATAACCTGGATTCAAACCATCTTGTTATGAGTAAAATGCTTGTAAAATAGAAAAATTATTGTAACATGCATCTATGCATATTATCCTGCATTTATTTTAGTTTTTCTTATAAGAAATTGCTCTGAATTAAGAGACAAGAGTAAGCACGCACAGCCTTAGACTGACTAGCTAACGAGAAAAAGGTACTAATTTAATGGTCATCCTTAAGCATAGCTTCCTTGAGAGGGATACATCTGCAAGGCTCCTTCACACTCCATCCGGAATAGGTAATGGCCTCACGTCTGTAAAAAGCATCTGGAACTGTAAGAAATGTTGAGAATTCTTCCCTTACTTCTCCCACATTTTATTTCAGAAATGTTAACTCGGATGGTAGGATGGTCCCAGAAATACCTTGACACAAATCTTCAGGACAGCAATTGAAGAGACAACATTCAGTTGATTAATTGGAAAAATGGATTTTCTGATTTCAATAATGACGTGGACCTAGTGTTAAACTTTGGTTTTGTTTTAGCCTTATTTCAATTATCTTTAACTAAAACCTTTTAATTTGACTCACACTAATTAGAAGGTATCAGTCAGCATTTTGCTTCCTCATTTCACTAAGAGAAGATGGAGAAAAAATTTTAATCACTTTATATTTGCAGATTTCCAGCTTTCTTCAGATTTACTCTGATCAAAGCCCAACATACCTCTTTTGATCAACATCAGTGAAATAAGTTCCTGTGAAAACATCAAGGTAGATGCATCATGCAAGTCAATAAGGGATTAAAATAATTCTCCCAAGTAAAGAAAATTCCACTGGGCATATACTTTGTAGAGTTTCTAAAGTTTAGGTATGAAATGAGTTGTTCAAACATCTTTACTGAGAAAAAACTTCAGGAATAAATGAAAATATATTTATTAATCTTGATACCAAAGGCATTAATAGAATTTAGAATGTGTCAAACCCTATGCCAGACACTTTGGAGTGTGCAAAGATAATTTATTGGTTCCTAACTTAAAGTAATTTATAATATAATTGAGCAGATGGTTATTATTTTCTAGTACTTACAGTTAAGCCGCAGTATATTAGGCTGTGCTGAGAAAATTCCTGCTATATCTTCTTCTGACAACCTAGTTTTCAGTTGGTTGACTTTTTCAAAACAAGAACTGTTAAACTACTGATATGGTTTGACTGTGACCCTACCCAAATTTCATCTTGAATTGTAGTTACCCTAATCCCCACATGTCATGGGAGGGACCCAGTGGGAAGTAGTTAAATAATGGGGGCGTTCACCCTCATGCTGTTCTCCTGATAGTGAGTGAGTTCTCAAGAGATAAGATGGTTTTATAAGGGGCTTTTCCCCCTTTTGCTCAGCACTTCTCCTTCCTGCCACCATATGAAGAAGGATGTTGTTGCTTCTCCTTCCACCATGATTGTAAGTTTCCCGAGGCCTCCCCAGCCATGCTGAACTGTGAGTCGATTAAGCCTCTTTCCTTTACAAATTACCCAGTCTTGGGTATGTCTTTATTAGCAGCATGAGAATGAAGTAATACAACTACTTACACTTCTGTTCTTTACACATGGCCCTCCTGGACTTGCATATCAGTAGAAAGTCATTGCAAGCAGCTACTTTCATCAGTTTAATGTGTAGATACATACTGGAAGATAAGTGTTTAAAGTGGTATTCACCAGTGAATGTGATAATACAGTAAGTTTCTTATCAAGAGAACTTGCTGTATTCTTACCATGCCAGATACAATGTAACTCTAGAAGAGCCCCACCTTGTTTTTCCTAGATATAACTGGATAAGGTATGTTGTTTTTGTTTTGTTTCATTTTTGCATCCATATTTCATTTGTAAAATGAAGACATTACATCTTCTTCAAAGTATGTGAGAGTAAATAGAATATGGAGACTTTGCTTAGCGTAAGGCTTAATAATAATCACTCAACCAATATTACTAATCCCCCTTTCCCTTTCACTTCAATGCTGTCTTCTCATAGATTTATAAAACCTATTCCAAATTAAATAAAGGGAAATTACTTCCTATCCCAAGAAAAGATAATCCATCCTGATCCTAGAGGCAAAATTTAACTTTGGAAATGATTTTGATTTTGTAATCCATAAAGTCTTTGACTTCTAACTTGTAATGCTATTAATTTATCAGGCAGTCTTAGTCCATTGTGTTGCTAGAATTGAATACCTGAGACTGGGAAATTATAAAGAAAAGAGGTTTATTTGGCTCATAGTTCTGCAGGCTGTACAAGAAGCATGGCACCAACATCTGCTTATGTTGAGGACTTCAGGCTGTTTCTACTCATTGAGGAAGATGAAGGGGGGCCAGTGTGTGCGGAGATCACGCAGCAAGAAATGAAGAAAGAGAGAGAGCATGGAGGTGCCAGGCTGTTTTTAACATCCAGCTCTCCCAGGAAAGCATAGAGTGAAAACTAACTTACTACCACAAGGAGAGCACCATGCTACTCATGAGGGATCCTCTACCATGACCCAAACACATCCCACATTGGTTACCATGAAGTTTGGAGAGGCCAAATATCCAAACCACAGCACAAGCACATAAGAAAGGCTAAGGACTTAAGGAGATTTATGATTTTCTTGGCAAACTGCAGTAATTAGATAAACAGAAGTTTATATAACATTATTCCTATGCATAATGTTATTAGTTTCTCTGAAATTGTAAATGCTGCTTATTAATTAATGCCATTTGCATTTATGAGTTTCTGTTACTAACAATTTTGCTCCAGTTTCTAGAACACAAAATTATAATTGGTTCTTACATAGTCTTTTGAATACATTAAAGTGATCCATTTTTACCACAAAACACTGTTATATGTGAAGGCCATAACTGCCAGAGGTATAGAACGAGAATTCCAAGAAAATTCTTAATTGTAACACCCAGTTTTTCATCTCTCAAGTACCTATTTTTGAAATGGTGCCAACTGGAAATATTGGAAATATATTTTTACAAGAAAAAAATTGTTGGCTATGAATATTTAATGAAAACACTTATTTGTACTCATAAATATATGTATAGGAATATATGTATTACATATAGGAATTACATATATGTAATATTCTATCATATATATGAAAGCATTTATAATTATAGCAGAGCGTATTAGAAAATAATATGCTAAAGTTGAAATCTATATTGAGAACTGAGGAATTGTTCATCAGTGGCACTAAGTACTAGTCAAGAACCATAAAACAGACTGTCTACTAGTTAGAGTGTAGAAAGACTTTGTGTCAGAGAGTGATGCCAGAACGGCTGCTGGACTAAGTATTTTATCACTCGTACTAATTTTAGATAGATAGATAGATAGATAGATAGATAGATAGATAGATAGATAGATAGATAGATAGACAGACAGATAGATACATAGAGAGATAGATCTATAGATAGAGATAGAGATAGATAGAGATACAGATAGAGATAGAGACAGAGATAGAGATATGATATGATATGGTTTGGTTGTGTCCCCACCCAAAATCTCATCTTGAATTCTAATCCCCATAATTTCCACATATCAAGGGAGAGGAAAGAGACCACGTGGAAATAATGTAATCTTGGGGGCGGTTTTTCTGCTCATGATAGTGAGTTCTCAAGAGATCTGATGATTTTATAAGGGGCTCTCCCTGCTACACTCAGCAATTTTCCTTCCTGCCGCCTCGTAAAGAAGGTCCCTGCTTCCCCTTCCCCTTCCGCCGTGATTGTAAGTTTCCTGAGGCCTCACCAGCCATGCCGAACCGTGAGTCAATTAAACCTCTTTCCTTTATAAATTACCCAGTCTTGGGCAGCTCTTTATAGCAGTGTGAAAACGGACTAATAATATATATAGAAAATATTATATATACGGTATTATATATGTTATATAATATATTATATATTATATATGTTATATAATATACATGTTTTATATATATTATATGTTATAACATATTAATATGCATGTTTTATATATTATATATGTTATAACATATATAATATACATGTTTTTTATATATTATATATATAATTATTGCTATTACTTTCTGTTGGCAGAGAGTTCTTCATGGGCCTGTCATGTCTCTGCCCAGTTTGTGAGCAGAGGCATTCACTGCATTTCTTCTGGACTATCTTTTCAGGAATGTTTGAATACTGTGCAACTTTGGAAGCTAGAGATAGTATCTTCTTCTGAAGCAAAGGACAGATTTGTTTATTGTTCAGTTGAAAAATAAATTTTAAAAAAATCTTCCTTCATTTCAAAGGGCAGGTATAGTCACTGCCCATTCTAAAATATTCAGGTTCTCTAAGCTCAAGTTTCCTTTTTTGTAATGCATCCTGTTACACATACAGGTGTCACTTGGTCCTCTTCATGTCACAATGTGGTAATTGGCATTTGTGGAACTGAGGAAAATGCTGATTTTCTTGCTACTACTATTGCCATGAATAACACAGTCTTTTGCTCTGATCCAGGAGTCTTCTATTTTCTGCCAGCATCCATTAAACCCTGGCAGGTTAATTGTTAGCTTGCAAGCAGGGTAAAATCGCAGATCCTTACAATTCTCAACACTACCCTCGGTCTCAGCCCTTCTCACGTGAGTGGATAACAGTATGTTCTGAATTCCAGACATTCCAAACATTTTGCTCATCTGTCTGTTAAAAACTTTTATCTGCAATCACCTTACTTTGTTATTACACTATACTGTAATCTTACATAATAAATACTTAGTGCATATTTCCCTAAACTTCTGTATTTTTTGTCCTTAATCAGTAAATTAAACTACAATGATAATTAATTAATTCCAGGAAAATGCTAGTAGGCATCAAGTTATATTTCTTCTCTTTATCAAATTTGCTACTTTCATTTCAAGATAAAATTTGGCCCATTTTATTCCTTACAATTTCATAGTAATCCTTTTCCCTCCCCAAGATCATGTCTGCTGTCTAAGGCCAGTCACTTCTCTTAGCATTTGATATAATGACCTAACTTGTCTACCGTTCCAACCTTCCTCATATAAATACAATCCTGCTGTTTCCCTGAATAATACCTTTAATGGCTCCTCCAATGAACAATAGTAAATTCCGAACCTGATAGAACACTGTATAAAACTCTCCGTTTTTTGTCTCCTAATTCTTATAGTGTATTCTTTCATTGTGCTTGCATGACTTCTATGCTGTAGATTTTCCAAACACCTTGTAATAATTTGACTATGACATGTATTTTATGCTGCACTGAATTTGCTCCCTTTACTTAAAAACTCTCCTTCCTGAGTCCCTGACAAACGTTTACTTCTCTTCCAAGACACAACATATGTCACCTCCTTTATGAAGTCTTCCCTGATGCCAGGGCATATTGACTACTCCTCCCTTTGTGCCTCCTATTATCTACCTACTTGCCTCAAATTTACCTTCAACATGTAGTCGCACATATTTATTTCTGTCTCTGTCTCCCCCTAGTGGACATATTACTTATTATTATATGCCCCATGACTAGCAAAAGGTCTGCCACAGAGTTGACATTAATGTATGGTGATGAATAAATAATACGTTTAAAACACGTTATTGATAAAATACTCACAAGAATATGTATTTCCCTAGAATGTATCCCTATACTTGATTTAAGTTTCCTATTCATTTGTATATGCTCAGTCAGAAAGGAATATTGGGCACTTTCTATAAAAGATGTATCATAAGTTGAATGTTTGTTCTCTGAAGTATTTCAGGGTTAAATTTAAGGTAAATCATTTAACTAACTATGCAGTAGAAAAATAGTTAATATAATTTTAATATTTGGAAAAGACTTATTGATATCCTTGGCTAGGAAAGAACATTAGAATGAAATGTATTTTTCACACGTACCCTAGAACTTAAAGTATAATATAAAAATATATATATATAATGAAATTCATTTTAGCATGAAAAATATACTCATCTGGGTAATTCCTGGTGCCACAGATATATATTTTATACAATGCTCCGAATGAATTACAAGGAAAATAAAGGAAACATGCTATGTATTCTGAATTTAAACAATAACTGGTTTTCAACTGACTACACCAGTTGTTAGATACATCAGCAGAAGCAGATGTAAATAAGGGCAGAGGCCACGCCCTAAGGTCAGTTCTGACAAGTTCGATTTAGACATCAGTGGGCACCAGCATCTACCACAGGGGACACCCAGAGACATTTCAGCCATGTCGTCCAGGACCCAGAGAAGAGTATGTGGAAGAAAAACATCTCCATCCACTACTGTTAAGACATACAAGCCTCTTCCTTCAACTGACACCCTCTTGGGGAGGAGAAAGACTGGGGGTTGGGTGAGACTCCTTGAGAGAGGAGAGATAGACCTAATAAGGACTTTGAACTTCCAGTTTAATGAAAGACATAACTGTTAACCACATGGAGTTCTTTCTAATTCTTCTAAATATTATGTATAAATCGTTCTGCCATTAGTACAAATGCAAGCTTGAAAACAAGATGACATTCATTATAAAAATTAAATTACTTTTCTCCTTGTAAAAATATGAGTTAAAGTGATTAATTCTAACATCTAGAAGAGCATATTTAATTAGTTGTTGAAATGAACATTTATCATGTTCCTGCCCATGATTTGAGAGGCATAGTCTTAAAAACATAAACATAGATACAAGTTTTTTTCTGAACTATCACAATTCACTAAGAAAAAGACATGTAGCTATAAGAAAATAATGAAAATTTTTCTATTAGTGGAAATGACTATTGATAAAGATATTCAATGTACTGAAGATAGGTGATATGTGATAAACACTTTCAGCAGGAGGTCTTGCATAAACTTAAGCAATAATGATAAGTACAGGTTTGCCAAGCATGGAAAAGAGTAAGGCTATTTCAGAAAGAAAGAATACGTCCAGAGGAATGAAAGAAGGAAATCAAGTAGAATACAAAGTAATAATACTTAATCAAAATAAGACATTCTATTCTTAAAACATTTCTCTTGTTCTTTCTCTGTCTATATCTATCTTGATTCACCTATTCATATACGTGTCCATCCAAACTTCCATCTCATACATTGTTACATAACCCTAAAGGCCCTCTTACTCTTTTCCTTTTCATTCAACACATCAAAGCACTGTATAAAACTTGCAATTTTACCTTCAAAATATATCCAGAATATATTTAGACTGTAACTGTAGAACAAACTAAGATCACCACTGCCTCAACTATTGTAATACCTTCTGACTGGTGTATCTGCTCCCATTCTTCTTTTTAGGGCTGCTTATATTTCATTTCTTCCTCCTCATCCATTTTGCACTTTTTTTTTTTTTTTCCTGTTCAGTGCCTTTGGAGACTAAACTTTCTGGAACTACATCACTTGACTTCCTCGCTGATTTGTTTTTGGCTGGGTCTAGCTAATGGGAATTATAAGCAGAAGGTCAGGGGGTGAGAGGAGAGGGAAGAATATTTATTTCTCTACTCCCTGCAATATGTGGCTGTAGTGGTGTCTTTTCATGGGTTACGAGCTCCAGTAGGGCAGACGCTGTGACAGCTCTGGTCCTTCCCTCTAGGATATGCTAAAAAGGTTCCCGCATTTTCACCATAGTTCGAGTTCTCTGAGTCCTCAATATCCCTGTGAATGAATTATTACATCAGGTTGCAATGTGAATGAATTATTGTATAAAAGGGATATGCTCAGTAAATCTATCTAAAAATTATTGACACTTTAGTGCCCTCAGAAATGTTTAGAAACAATACAAACAGAAACCAGTTAGATTTGCAACAATCAGAATTTTCTTAGCTAAATTTAACCAAGGAGAGGAAAAACATAAATTAGTAAATATGACCAATAAAACATTAATATGTCAGTAGAATGCGTTTTGCATAGGCAAATCTAGTGTCAACTTCAGGTAAGTTTAAGCTAAGTGATCATTATCACATTGTAAGCGTACAAAAGCAAGGACTCACCTCAGGAATAATAGAAGAAATTACAACAGAAAAACTCAATCTATCATCTGAAGGCCTAAACAACAACTATTTAGTATGATACCATCCCTGACTTATTCACCCGTTACAAATTCACTCAATTGTTAGGGATTAGAAACAATCTTATCATTAGTTTGAAGCTATTTAGTGTGTTTATATGTGTGATATAAATTTTGACTTAATGAAAGGCTCATCCACTAATAGCAGCCACAAATATTACACAAAATATATGTTAAGTGTCTATTAATCTTCAGTACTACACTAGGTACAATTGAAGATATGGAGTGGTAGAATATATACTTTCTATACACAAGATATGAAAAATCTCAATGTTCAAAAAAGCAATTTCAGAACAAACAAGTAGAAAACAAACAAGTATGAGCATGACAAGTATTCTTGTATTAAGCATGTGTGACTGACTCAATTTCTAATGGTAAGATTCTCAGAAAAAAGAGAATGTTAGTGGCATTGTAAGATAGTTGCCTCTTTTTTAAAAAACGAGCAAATTTGTCTGCATGATCTATGAATAATATAGCATAAAATTTTAGCATGTATTTAAAAATGAATAAGTTGAAGGGAATGTTTATAGATTCATGAATCCAAAGTCTTAAATATGAGTCTGACTATAATCCTTTTAAGCTTAATAAACATGAACAAGTTATTCAGTTTCATTAGTTTTAATTCCTTTATGTATAATATAATTTTATTTTATTCCTCAAAACATTATATTAAAATGAGATCAAATATTTAAAAATATTTTGTACATGTTTAAATCATGTATCATTGTTTAAAAATATTGTTCAAAGTTTACAAATTCTATTTAAGATGAACAATAATAGATAATAAAAACAATGTGTTTTTATTTTATCAGATTTATTGAACTCATTAATTCCTAATTATAATTAGATATCTTTAGAATTACATATTTAAAAAAAAACATACTAATAGAATTCTTACTAATAAAAACATAAGAAGGAAATTTGGCTAAGTATAAGCTAACTTTCCATGTAAAATATTCATAGGGGTGTTGTTTATAAAAATAATCAATTAATTATACCTCCTGTATGACATTGTCCATACGGTGAGTTATGATCACAATACACAGACAACAGTGAGATTCTAATCATCAGTAAAATAAAGTATGTTTTTAATAGCATCTCTGAACTGTTTTAGAAATGGCCAAAGTAACGCTAACTGGTAAATATTATTTTATGTGATACTTTCTAATATTTTTAGTCTACCCTGTCAACTGATAAGTGAAATTACTTCATGAACCAATAATACAGCAAATTGCTTTTAGACTTCTGGTATCCAGATTATCTGCTGAAAAAGTCTGTTTATTTTCTTTCCTTAGCCCTTCCCTCTTTAAATTCTCCACCTTTTTGTGGCTTTTGCTTCTAAATTTGTATAGATACTTTATATGTCTATGAACATTTTGCTAGTATTTCAAATCACCTCAATATGTTTATCAGTTTTTAAAATAGCATCAGTGATTTCCTACTACACATCTATATGCAATGTTTTACAAACAAGTTCATGATTTCATATTGATGTTTATCAGCTTTTAAAATAACATCAGTGACTTCCTACTACATATATATCCAACGTCTTATGCATATATATGCATATGTATATATATACACACGCACATATATGCAATGTTTTACAAACAAGTTTATGATTTCATATTTGGCCCACCTAACCTCTTATCCTGTCCTCAAAGACAAGAAAAATAAAAGCAAGCCTGGCGCAGTGGCTCACGCCTGTAATCCCAGCACTTTGGGAGTGTTCAGGGTGGATCACCTGAGGTCGGGAGTTCGAGATCAGCCTGACCAACATGGAGAAACCCCGTCTCTACTAAAAAAAAAAAAAAAAAAAAAAATACAAAATTAGCCAGGCTTGGTGGCGAATGCTTGTAATCCTAGCTACTCAGGAGTCTGAGGCAGGAGAATTGCCTGAACCTGGGAGGCGGAGGTTGTGGTGAGCCAAGATCACACCATTGCACTCCAGCCTGAGCAACAAGAGCGAAACTCCGTCTCAAAATAAAATAAAATAAAATAAAATAAAATAAAATAAAATAAAATAAAATAAAATAAAAGCAAATACTTGAAGTTGATTAGCAATGAATATTATCGTTGTTTAGTTTTACAAAGTACAAAATATTTGAATTAGAATAAGGGACTCTAATCTTTTAAAACATGAGTATCACATGATAACATAATAAAGATTTTGAACAAACTTTGTTAGAGAAGCAAATTACACATATATTATAATTAGAAGAAAAATCTTGAGGTGGATAGAGGGAATACAGTTCCCATTCATAATAAATGTATGTAATTATACTGTTTTTACACACACACACAGGAGAAGAGAGAGAGAGAGAGAGAAGCAAATATTAGAGAAAAGCCAGATCCAAGAACAAAATCTTGAACTTAGGATTCTGAAGTTCCATTTTACCAAAGGCACAGGGCAATGTGAAATGGTAAAACATATACTTTAATTCCTACCCTTAAGGTATGTGAGAAATACTTTCAAAAGCATGTCTTAAACTTTGGTTTGTTGTCATTAAATGTTCTTTATTACCACTGGATCATCACAACTCATTAAAGTAAGTGTAAGGCAAATATAACCTTAATAGAAGGTGAAAGTTTTATACCTGTTGCTATGTACTGAATTGTGTCCCCTCAAAATTCATATGTTGAAGCGTTAACCTCAAGGTGAGTGTTTTTAGAGAAAGAGCCTTTAAGGAGACAATTAATACTAAATGAGGTATTAATGCAATAAGACTGATGTTTATATAGGAAGAGGAAGAGAGAGATCTCTCTCTGTTTGTTTCTTCAGAGGAAAGGCCATGTGAGAACACAGTGAGAAGGAGGCTGTCTGCAAGCCAGGAAGAAAGCCCTCACCAGCAACTAAATTTGCAGGCACCTTGATCTTGGATTTTAGCTTTCAGAACTGTGACAAAATACATTTCTGATGTTTAAGCCACCCAGTCTATAAGATTTTATGTAAGCTGAAGCACACTAATACATCTGATTTACAACAATCTAAGCAAAAAGTATGTTTTTATGTTAAAATTTATCTTTTACTCTATGTGTATTGTTAGCTATCTTTGAAGATTTTTCTCCAGCTTTGCAATGTAATTACTAAAATGTTTTTATTCCACTCTAGTGAAATGTCTTCAAGACCTTCTATAACATTCATGGTAATTCTCAGTACTTAGTCTTATGTAGTTGTATTGGCATTTTGTATATGTTGTAATTATTCACTTTTATTTTTGTTTTTTCTCATATATTCTAATCAGTACTCAGAGATACTGAAATGATAAGATATTTAGTAGTTATATTTTAACTAGAGAAACTAAAATACTAGGAAATGTTCTAAACCCAAGTCTTGGTCTAGGAAGCAAATAGAATAGAAAGCTCTAAATACAAAGGATGTCAAGTACAGAGAATTAAAACAAAATATTAAGGTCTGAAAACATATGTCGTTTGCTTCTCATTTTTTTCTCCTAGGAGAATTTGGTGTTGAATGAATTCTGAATAGAGTGTATATGAAAAAAAAACATAAGAAATAAAAAAATTTTGCATTTTTCATGATTGGTAAAACCTGGACTTCAGCTTGCAAAACTTCTTTTATATTTGAATTTATGATTTTTTTTTGCTCTCCATGATTCTTAAGAATAAATAGTCTTAATACTGTGGAAGCACTGAATGAATGAATTCATCTGTATTTCTTTGTTTCAGTTGTCACTTTCTCAATACAAATATTCATGTTCAGTGTCTATTGGATGATGCAAAAAACAGATTCAGTTGTTCTTGCAACAGAAAATGTCTTTCCATAAGGTTCCTCTCTGGACACCTGAATTCCAACATCTTGCATTCATTTCAACTTAACTGTCAGTAATAATTCTTTCTCACTAATATTTTAATAATTTATTTAGGCTGATATTCTCTTTTCTTGAGCTATGAACCTTGCCTTGAAATTGTTTTATGTATTGTACATAATAAGCAATTAGTTAGTTATTAATAATATGTTGAAAAGCTCAAATTACATATGAAAACTGTAATAAACAACGCAATAATTTATACTTAGATTTGTCTCAAAAAACAGATTCATGAAACACTCAAGTGTCACCCAGTCAATGTTATTCTGAAAAAAAAATTCTTTTTCTGAAAGAATATCATTTTTATAGCATCTATCTCTTACTCCGGGGACTTTTATAAAAGCAAGAAGTAGGATGACCTTGTTTACTGGGTAAAAACTGGCATGGTCATAAAAAAGAGTAAAATGACTTCACTTCTATTCTTCTATGAAGAATAATAGTCTGTGCTATTAAAGCACTCATCTAAAAAATACATTAAATTAAAATATTATAAGAAAAATCATTAAATATGTATGTTATCTTCATAGGTAAACATATATGCATAAATGTATCACATTGATATATATGTACATGAATGTATACTATATATACATATAAATATACATACAAAAGAAGAATCAAAACTCTGAAACTTAAATATGCCAAAATGATGAAATTTTAAAAGCCAAATTGTAATAAGTTTCAGCATGTATTGCTGTGAATTAAGTTGTGTTTCATGTTCCCTGTTTTTTCAATATTTTATATAGCACCATATAAAAAATCAAATTCAATTTTTCAAATATAGTTACTGGTTCAAAAAAATTCCATACTCACAAGGTAAAGACTACTAATAAAGTTCAGTCATCTGTTTAAAATCTAACTATACATTGATAAGCAATTGTTTTCAAAAATCCTTTACATTGCAAGATGCAGCCAGTTATTAAATGCCCAATGTATGCCAAATATTGGAGATGAAAATCTTAAGGAACTTACAACATATTAGGGCAAAAAGACACATACCTCTAAATGATCTAAATGAAATATTATCAATTCTAGAAAGGGTGTTAAAACAGAGTGCTGTAAGAACCCTGAGGAAGAGCACCAGTAGTAGACAAGGAAGTCTTTCTTAGGAAAGTGAATCTTGAGTTTTTGTTTTATTTCGTTTTGTTTTCAGATAAAGGACCTTGCTCTGCTGTCCAGGCAGGAGTGCAGTGGTGTGATCACAGATTACTGTAACCTTGAATTCCTGGGCTCAGGCGATCCTCCTGCCTCAGCCTCCTGAGTAGCTGGGGCTACAGGCATGCATGTATATTGTTTAATATTTTTGTAGAGATGGGTACTTGCTACATTGCTCTGGCTGATCTCAAACTCCTGGCCTCAAGCAGTCCTCTTGTCTCAGCCTCTCCAAGTGCAGAGATTGCAGGCCTGAGCCAGTGCACTCGGCCCTGAGTTGAGCTTTTAATGGTAAACCAGGTGTTAATTAAGTGTATGCATGTCTGAGTATGAGGGCCAGAGCATGGAAGTAGATGCAGAAAGACTTGTCATGTGCTAAACTAGAATTTTCAAAAGGCTATATTGCTTTCTACAAGTAGTTTAATAACTACATTTAAAAAGGTTATAACTAAGAATAACATATATGATTCTAAGGATATGGTATGTTATTTACATGTAAATGATGTGCGCATTTCAAAGTCACTGAACATTAGGATTTAATTTGTGTTTTTAAAAAATTTACTGAAGAGGGACGGCATCGTGAAGCATGAATACAGGTGGGAAAAGATGTCACAGGAGTTTGGCAATTTACATGGAGTCCGTTGCATAAAAATGATAAGGCCTAATCTAAAGGCAATAATATCGTACCCAGAAAGTGGAGATTTAAAACATTTTAAAGGTGCATATTTTTAAAATTTCTTGGTGACACAGGGAGTAAGAAAACAATAGCTGTTGAGAAAACCTTTATTTAAAGAGGAAACACATTTCTAGGCATTGTTACTGGACATGGAATAAGGACAAAATATCATTCCACTCTCCTAAGAAATTGATCAATCAGACAAAATGGACATTTACTATTTAAATAGATCTTTATATTTCAGGCGTAATTTATTTATCTGCCCAATTTTATGTGTATTTTAACATATTCTGAGAGTAACGAACATTAGCATGAATGTATATTGCCATGAGGTGAAATCTAATGGTCAGGATAAAAATTCCATCTTTTATTTTTATAATAGATGAATAGTATAAGTGACTACTCATTGAAACAAGAGTTCAGGTTTTACTGTGATTAAATATTCATCACTCCCTAAATTCTCACCTCATATTTGCCATCTCTTATTCTTAGGCTTCTTTTGAAAAGAGTACAGCACTTATGCTGAATTGCGGCAAATTGAGAAGTTGTTTAATGGTTTGGAAAACCCGCACAGCTGAGTGAATTGAGAATAACACATTCATTATTATTTATGACTCTATTTCCAGGTCTTTTCAGGTCGGCTTATTGAATTCACTGAATATCTGGTTTTCCAGCTCAGCAAAGCCAATTTTATGATAGACAAACTCATAGAAATTAAAGAAAGCTAATTTTAATAGAAAAAGCTAAAACACCATCAATTTAGGATCATTTACTCTAAATGAAAACCCATTACTTATTAAGCTTTACCATTAAGAATCCCAAAGTTAAAACAAAAATCATCTAGAACAGTGATTCCCTAGTGTTTCTGTGGATCATCCTTTGCATTGGTCTTCAATAGATTTTACTTGGAATAAATGTTTTCCAGAAAAGCCAGGGATTCCGCGAGTTAGAGTTAAGTTCATTTTTAATTAAAATACTTGAGAGATGTTATGGAGACAATCTTCACTGTAAAATTTCAAAATGAGGATGTGGAGTAATGGGTTTATGGGTTTATAAACTATTGTTTTGACATGAAATGCCTTTGTAATGAATACCTTCAAATAATATTTGCCCAGGGACAAAGCATTGGGAAATGCTTATCTAGGGCAATTCACTGACCACATTTCAGACACAAATTTAGAGGTAATAAGAGGGCTTCGTAATTCAGAACACCACATGTTTTGTTGTTGTTTTTGTAATTTATAGTTTTAGCAGAAAAATGTGTCATTATTTTCTGAGGGAAACATTTTCTGACCTAAATTATCACGTTTAATCATTACACATATATTTAATTTGTGTTTAATCTGTCTAAATATTGGACAATATTAACTCTAGGCTACTTCAAGTGCCAAAAGAACAGCAAGAGATAAACTGTAGAATTATTAGGTTTTGAATTTTGGGAAAACTGTACAGTAGGAATGGATAGCCTCAGAAGCATTATTTGATTAAAATCCAGGTGGAAATAAAAGCAAACAATTAAAGGTGTCCTTAACAGAGTCTATCACATAGTTTTCTTATATTATAAAGTATTTTAAGTATTTTGAGAAAATAATATGTACTTTTAAATATAGATTTTCTGTTCCTAAATTCTATATATAATAATACATGACAATTTAAAAAGAGTAATCAAAACATTATCTTCCAATAAACCCTCTCTTCTAATTTTACTTTTGGCTTATCATTGATGAGCTCTGCCTCACCCACAATCAATATTTGTTTCAGTTACTGCAGCTCTTTTGTCACACCTGAGAATAAGAAAGCTATATGCAGCCATGTCCTTTAAACAACACTGGAAAAATAAACTAGTAATAGAATGTCTTTTATATAATGCTTTGTTTAAAAAACAAATTTTCAGTCAGTTGACACTTGATAATTATTTTTTAAATGTTCTTCAGAAAACATATTTTGCCTTATAATTTATAATTAATTTGATTACTTAAAAATGTATTTATTAAATCATCATTTCATTCCAAATAAAGACATATTTACTTTAGTAAAAGAGAGGGTTTGTAAGTATATTAAAATATTTTAAATTATCACAATAGTACCTTTATTTTCCTATAATTCATTTATAATAAAGAAAAAAGCATATGTAATATTAACAAAATAATAAATCGAACAATGAGAACACGTGGACACAGGAAGGGGAACATCACACACTGGGGCCTGTTGTGGGGTGGGGGGAGGGGGGAGGGATAGCATTAGGAGATATACCTAATGTTAAATAACGAGTTAATGGGTGCAGCACACCAACATGAAACATGTATACATATGTAACTAACCTGCACGTTGTGCACATGTACCCTAAAACTTAAAGCATAATAAAAAACAAAAAACAAAATAATAAGTTTTGATAATCAAATTTAAATAATTTTGGAAAAAATATTAAATATTCTGAATGTAGTATTCTTTTTAATCTCTTTTCTTGATTTTGATTAAATACTTGACTTTGGGTAATTTAACTAAGCCCCAATTTCTTTATGTGTTAAATAGATATCCAAAATACAGCAGACATATAGTGAAATATTTAGTGAAAAAATATGCAGAAAGCAGCATATTTAACTGCCAAATAAATTAAAAACATCATGTATATGGAAAATAATAAATATTGACATACACAACATATATTTAAAAGGTATAATCTGTAGTTTAAAATATAAACATGGTAAAATCATTAATGGTGCAATAAATTATATTTAAAGACAATATTTGTTAGAGAAAAATGACATGGACATACATTTTTTTAGATGATGGTGATAATGAATGTTAAGAGGCTCAGTAAACAACAATTATGTAATTATAAATTTAAATGAAACATTTATGGATTATTAAATTTTACTTAAATATTTTGGAAACAATTTTCTTCCAATTGCAATAAAATTAGGCCTTGTGGTTTAAATAATCTAACTTTCCCTTTAATGTATAATCTGAAAAATTGAGCTGTTCAATATCTGCGTTGTTATTTATTTTGTGAGTATCATGATGATAGCTTATATTTCAACACGTGTTAAATGTTAGGACATAAATGTCAAAAGATAATTTTTTTTTTGTTTGAAAGCTTGTTCTCACACATGAATAAAATGCTGTTTTAGAGTTTGGATTTTCAAATTTGATTTTACACGTATCAGTGATTAATGAGCTTTACAATGTTACCTAAAATACAGTCTACTTTAATTCTCAGAGCCTCAATTCCTACCTGAAAAAAGTAGTATAGTACAAGTTTTGAAGATCTTTCCTGCAATCATAATCCATGAAAGTAAGGAGGGTACACAGTTCAGTATGGCATCACGTAGTAATTCACTCACTTTTTAATTATGAAAAAATCAATTCTAAGCAGACCTGAATTGGCCTGATAAGGAAGCTAACGGCAGCTAGAAAATATCGGGGGTGAACTTCACTTCAAATCAACAAATATAAAAATGTTGTATAAATTATTGGTTGTAATATAAAAGAAAAAAAGGGGGAAAGTAATGTATCCATTAATAAATTCTACCTGAGGAAGTTAAGTGACAGAAGCCTAAAATAATTTTCTGATAATAGCCGATCCTTACTGTTTACAGTAACTTAAAATTTATCATATGGAAAGTAAATAAAATTTCTTCCAATTTATTCAGAGTATTAAATTAGAAATTTTGATTTATATGTAGAAAATATTAATTTAATATGTGCACTATTTTCTTAATGTTTAGAATATAAAATCACTTGAAACTCAGCAGCAACAAGATTATTTCTAAGATACTATTTCTTAATTTGAAAGACTAATCCAATGAATTTTGAATATTTATGACCACATTCTAAACAAATATTTATCACTTTTAACAATAGCAGTGTAGTTTTACTTTTTGAATATTATTAAAGTAAAAACTTTTATTTTGGGTGACCTCTAGGTCTCCTCCATTTAACTCCAATGGAAAAGTGTATATCTGTCTGGTTCTCTGAATAGTCACTGTGGAATTGCTCTTCTCTAGGACATTTTTGTTTCAGCTTTCAGAGTGTTTAAAATAATAAACTATATTTTTCTGATACTCTTAGAAATGAAAATCTTAGTAGTAACTGTTTCAACATATGTGTGAGAAAATTTAACCTACTTGTGGTCCCATCACATGGCTCTCTTCCCTCTAAGGAATATTTTAAATTACAGAAGTTGTAAACTAATTTTACACAGTTTATTTAGTTTTAAATTGTAGCATTTTCTGTCATTCAAAAGTTGTGAGTAATGATTATTACAAAAAATACTACAATGGAAGGAAACTATAGCATACAAGAGATAATTTATTTGTCGAGCAAAAAGAGAGTTCTGCAGGGTGTTTTGTTTATTTGTTCTCCTTTAGTAAATTGATAGGTTTTAGACATTATAAAAATGTATGCTTTTAAGATGGGGAGGTGTCTCAGTTTGTGTTGCTATCAAAGAATACCTGAGACTGTGTAATTTATAAATAAAATAGTTGTATTTCTCTCACTATTCTGCACACTTTACAAGAGGCATGGCATGAGCATCTGCTTTAGGTAAGTCTCAAGATGCTGCCACTCGTAGTGGAAGTTTAAGGGGAGCCAGCTGGTGCAGAGATCACACAGCAAGAGAGAGAAGCTGGGAGAGGTACCAGGCTCTTTTTAGCAACATCTCTCCAGAGAACTAATAGAGCAATAACTCACTCATTACCATGAGGACAGCACCCAGACATTCATGAGGGATCTACCCCACGACCCAAACACTTCCCATTAGGCCTCAAGTCCAACATTGGGTAGCAAATTTCAACATGAGTTTTTGGGGGACAAACATCCAAACCATAGCATTTCTCTTCTTGTCCATCAAATCTTGTATCTTTTCACATACAAAATATCATCATGCCACCCCAATTCTCCCTAAAAGTTTTAAATTGTTCCAGCCTCAACTCAAAAGTCAAGCCTCATTTGAGACTCAAGGCAAGTTACAGCTGTGATCCTACAAAATAAAAATATATATATATTATTTATTTCCAAGATACAATGGTTATGCAAGCATCGGGTAAACATTCCCATTCCAAAAGAGACAAATTGGCCCAAAGTAAGAGGTAACAGGCCAAATGCAAGTCCAAAATCAAGCAGGAGAGACATTAAATCTTGACACTCCAAAATCATCTCCTGTAACTCTATGTCCGGCACCTGGGGCACACTAGTGTGAGAGGTGAGAGGTGGGCTCTCATGGTCTTGTGGTTTTGCTTGGTGCAGCCCATGTGGCCGCTCTCAGGGATTGAAACTGACTGCTTGCAACTCTTCCAGGCTGAGGTGCAAACTGCCAGTGTCTCTATAATTCTAGGGTCTGGAGGGCAGTGTCTCTGCTCTCACAGTTCCACAGGGAAGTGTCCTAGCAGTTATTCTTTGTGGTGGCTCTGCCTAGACTCCCAGGCTTTCTGATACATCCTCTGAAATCTAGGTGGAAGCTGCCAAGCTTCCACCGCTTTTCCATTGTGGGCACTTGCAGACTTAACAAGATATGGAAGCTGCAAAGGCTTACCACTTGTGCCCTCCGGAACAATGGCCTAAGCAGTACCCAGGGTCCTTTAAACCACAGCTGGAGCAGCCTGGATATGGGGAGCAGTACTCCAAAGTGGCACAGGGAAGTGGTGCTCTGAGCCTGTCCCCCAAAACCATTCTGTCATTCTAGGCCTCTTGGCCTGTGATGGAAGGGGCTGCCTCCAGACTTTCTGAAATTACTTTTCCCACGATCTTGACTGTTAGCACCTGGATCCCCTTTAGTCACGCTAATTTCTCTAGTAAGCGATTGCTCCACAGCATCCTTGGATTCTTCTTCTGAAACTGTTTTTTCCTTCTCTACCACATGACCAGGCTCAAATTTTCCAAAATTTTATGCTCTGTTTCCCTTTTTACTATAAATTCCACCTTTAGTCATTCCTTGGCTGCTGATATGATTATAAGCTGTTAAATACAGCTATATCACTTCTTGAGCACTTTACTGCTTAGAAATTTCTTCCACAATCTACCCTACATCATTGATCTTAAGTTCAGCCTTCCAGAAAACCCCAGAACATGGACACAATTCGGCCAACTTTTTTTTTTTTTTTTCCTGTGGTGGAACAAGGGTGACCTTTGCTCCAGTTCCCAATAAGTTCCTCATTTTCACCTGAGACTTTGTCAGTATGGCTTTTCTTGTCTATATTTCTATCAGCATATTGGTCACAATCACTTGAGCAATCTCTAAGAAGTTCCAAAAATTTCCCTCATCTTGCTTTATTTTTTAAGCCCTCCAAACTTTTCCAATCTTTGCCCGTTACCCAGTGCCAAGGCTGCTTCCACATTTTCAGGAATCTTTATAGCAACACTGACTCTCCGTATCAATTTTCTGCCTAAGTCTGTTTTGTGTTGCTATAAAGGACTACCTGAGGCTAGATAATTTATAATGAAAACAAGTTCATTTGTCTTACAGCTCTGAAGTCTGCACAAAAAGCATGGCACCTACACCTGCCTCTGGTGAGAGCCTCTGTCTGCTTCCACTCATGGCAGAAGGTGAAGGTAAGCCAGCATGTGCATAGATCACATGGTAAGAGAGGAAGCAAGACAGAGGGAGGATGTAAGTACATAGGGGGGACTCCAGGGATTACAGTAATTTAATAAACATGAGCAATCGGCCTGTTTTACAGCCTCCTGCCCTACAGCCTCCTGTAGCTTGTTACTTTCTAAAGCTTGTATGACATAAAGTTACCTAGTTGGTTAAAACTAGTTTCTGACAGATCCCAGCAACTTATAGATGCACTGGAGTAAACTTTCCTCATTACCATGCCAAAGTCTCCACCCTGAGAGGAGTTATATCTTCATTACCATAATACACAATCCATGTGCCAGCGTGATGACTCACTGTGTCTGTGCAACTAGGACCCCATCTCTACATGCAATGATGCACCCTCTCCCCTCTCTATCACCCCATAAAACCCTCCCGTCACTTTCTCTTGGGGAGACACTCCTTTTGAGAATACTCCCAGTGGCCTCCTTACTTGTGCCAAGAATATATCTCCTATTGATCAAAATCTGCATTCTCATGGAGAATCATTTGTTATTTGTCAGGAGAATAAAACGGGGATTTTTTGGTAACAGTGGGAGGGGCAAGGCTCTTTTTAACAACCGGCTCTTGTGTAACTAATAGAGTGGGAACTCACTCATTACCATAGGGACAGCACCAGCCATTCATGAGGGATCCTCCCCAATGACACAAACATCTTTCATTAGGCCCCACCTCCAACACTGGGGATTAAATTTCAACATGAGGTTTGAGGGATGAATGTCCAAACTACAGTAGGAGGCATACACATCTTATTTCCTTATAAAATTATCTATGCAGTTTAACTTTGAATAGACATCAATTCTTAGGAAATTATAACTTATTTTTACTCATATAGTGTTATTGTCAAAATAATTCCCTAAAATTATAGGTCCAAATTCCTCCTTGCCGGAATGTGGACACTGAGGTCCAATGAAACTTAATATACTTTCCATGATCAAATAGTGAACTAATGTTAGTCAAAAGTAGGATCCAAATAAACAGACATATCATCAGGTCTCCTGTCCTAGTAACATCTGCAAACACATATTTATGCCTTTAGTGGACATAAATAATTTTCCAATTATCTTTTCTAAATTCAATCCATACACTTGCACACAAAATACCACACACTGTAACATATTCAAAAAATATTTCAACAATTCTATTCTCTCTCTCTCAAATTAGGTATTAGAGGAACTTTGATATATTTATATTTTATAAATTTATCTGAGTGACAAGATGGATATTATGTTTTGTTTAAGTTTGCCTTCCCTTTGTCCATTCAATAAGGGATTTTTAGTCAAGTCTGAATCAATATGCTCTAATAACTCTTTACAGCAGGGTTCTTAGCACCCACTGTTAGCTCCACTGCCACATAAAAGTATAAAGATTTCTCTCACATTCCAGACAAATAACATATCAACAGATAGGAGAAATACCTAATGTAGATGATGGGTTGATGGGTGCAGCAAACCACCATGGCACATGTATACCTATGTAACAAACCTGCACGTTCTGCATATGTATCCCAGAACTTAAAGTATATATATTTAAAAAAGTAAATGAAGCTAAACTTGCTAAGACCAAGAATAAACTTGTATTTGTTTACTCAGTAAAAATTTGAGTATTGTCTGTGCCAGGAACTTTTGAAAAGACCTCTACATCTGTATTTCTCAAAAATATAGTTGTAAGAAGGGAAATAAACCACTAAACGAGGCAAGAATATAGTAGGTGAAAATTCTAAGAACAGTAAACATTTAAGCTGAAACGTGATTAATAAAAAGACTTAGTCATGATGGGTGACCACCTTCTAGGCAATCTCAATTGAGGGGTGGAGTGGGGCAGTTCATCCTAACAGGTAGGAGGATGTTAGCAGTAATTGTTTAGAATTGGCAAGATATAGTACTCATACGAATAACAAAAATAATTTTTAAAAATTATCTCTAGACTATGCACCTCCCTTTAGTGTTTTCCCTCTCACAGTGTGTGCCTGCCACTACAATCCTCTCCCCTTTAAATGCCATTGCTTCTAGTCTCCAGAATCAGTTGGTACTAATGGACTATATAGTCCTCTTCCCTTATCTCTCTATACTCACTATTTTGGTGATATCATGTTATGTTATGTATTTAAATTATGTCTATATGCTATCAATCTCCTATTTAATACCTTCTGGCCATCCTTCTACAACTCCTGAATGATGCATTCGACTATCTACTCAATATCTCCACTTAAAATATTAAAGTAGTTTAATTAATTCAGTTTTCCAAAATCTTAAAATCACTGGAAAAGGTCTAATGATTTAAATGGCCTTTGCTTTACTGCAGATGTTTCACAATATTTCTTTTACTTACAAATTATTATACCCTATATTAATGTCATCATTTTAATATAAAATATAGATGAATAAAAAATGGAATTTCCTTTAATGTTTAATTGAGAAAAATAACTGTTCTTGCACTTTGTGTCCTCTTGGTAAATGCTATGTATAATATTCTGTAGTATGTAAAGATGCTTATAAACCAACTTAATTTGGATAACCCTGACTTCCTCAAGAAATAGAAGTTCAGTATGGCTGAAGAATACTGACAGCTGGCAGAATATGAGTTCAGAGAAGTAGCTTTGGGGTAAATGATGTAGGGCTTTGTAGGATAGGGATATTAAGGTTTTATCCTAAGAGCATAAATCTTGTCAAGTAGTTAATTGGGCCCTTGAATCTGTTTTTCAGAAGAAATTTAGGACTACAGGTAAATTGTTTTTTGTAATTTGTTTCTACATAGCATTTGAAAGTATAAAATTAAATGATATTTTCTCCACCAAAAATATAGTGTCCTGGGGCACTGTAACATCAGAGAGTAGAACAAATTAGCAACGACAGTTGAGCAAGAGTGATCAAATCAACTGTGTCAAACACAATTGAGATTGGGGGGAAAATTACACCATAGAGGAGTTTGGTGATTTTCATTAGGGCAAATGATTGATTGAAGTGGATTGAAGAGAGAATGATGGTTAAGTAAAAGTACATTTAATAATTATAAAAAATAACTACATATTATGTTGGAAAGGCAAAAGAGAGCTGGAATAGTGAAAATGAATATGACTAATTTTGTGTGTTTGAAACAACAGAACTTTGTAAATTGATTGGAATTATCCAAAATAGACTAAAAATTGATACAATTGATAATGTAAGAAGTGCTCATTGCAGTAGTGGAACCCCTTTGGCAAGAAAGATGGGATGCAAAATAGATCCAGTGGAATCAACCCTTGATTCAAGCAGAAACACTTAATATATTGTAACGAAAATAAAGACTTTCAGATTATGTTCCAAATTCTTCTCTATTTTTTGCTATACCAAAGAGAGTAACATGTATATGTATGAGGAGTTTGTGCATGTGAATGTCCTTGCATATCTTTTATTATATTAATACCTCTGCTGACTTAAAGCTTGCTAACAAAACACTTTGTCTTTTCTTAAATTTTGTAACTTGAACGGTGAATGTCACAGGAGGGCTAAATGATCATGAATCTAAGTATCATTTAGGATAAATTTATTGATCTTAGAAGCATTATTTATTGTCTATGTATTTCTGTTTTAAAGGCATTGTTTTTAAGATTTCTTTTGGAGAAAAGTAATCCTATTCTTTTTTTTTTCTTACTCCTGCAATCTAGCTTTGTAGAGAAGACTATCTCAATAATGATGGCCTGGTATAATCATTAACTAATCAGACAGCCAGCAAATCAAAGGGGGAAAAATACATTGAAAAAGTAACAATGATTGTTAATGGATTGTGTTAGTGGGCTTGATTAATTATTTTGGCCTTACTCATTTGTAAGAAAATAAGAGTTTTAATTTTTTCCTTTGTAAAGATAACATACAGAACACATTTAACAGTGAGCATTTTTGCAGCTAGCCTTGGAGACACTTATCAAGGAGTAGTTTGGGGAGGTAAAATCAAATATAACGTATAAATTTCTTGAGTGTAATCTGCTCTGTATATTTTCCACTGTGATTTCAAAAGGCTCCTTTTATATTGATTTACTCTTTCTAACTGTTTTTATAAATCAGATGTTTTAGTTGTAGCTATAATTTCTATGGTCATGAAGAGTCCGTATGTCACTGGTATCTGATCAATAGTCACTTTTCCAATGAAAAAGGTTGGAGACCTCACCCTTCCTTCTTGCATTGCTATGACCACTACAAGTAATCTTTTGGAATAATTTATTCAGCTTTACACAGAGAGACTTAATTCATGTAAAATAGAGACAGCATCTGTCTTCTAAAGTTAAATACTTGAATGTCCTTGTTATTTTATTGTGCTTGTTATTAGATTAAACCATATTCCTCTAAATCTAGGCAATATTCTATTATTTCATTGCAAGCTTTTTTCTTCTACCTTTTGCTACAGAAAATAAATGTACATGCACATAAACACTCACAAACACACACACACATTGCTATATATTTCCCTTAAGAATCAGTAGGTTTGATTGTTAGGAAGTTTGAAAAATGTTTCCTTTTGTCTTAAAAGAGATAAAAAATACCGGCCTGGAGCAGTGGCTCATGCCTGTAATCCCAACACTTTGGGAGGCCGAGGCGGGTGGATCACCTGAGATCAGGAGTTCAAGACTAGCCTGACCAGTGTGGCAAAACCCCGTCTCTATTAAAAATACAAAATTAGCCGTGCGTGGTGGCGCATGCATGTAATCCCAGCTACTCAAGAGGCTGAGGCAGGAGAATCGCTTGAACCTGCGAGGCAGAGGTTGCAGTGAGCCAAGACTGTGCCACTGCACTCCAGCCTGGGCAACAAGAGCATAACTCTGTCCAAAAAAAAAAAGATATAAACACTACCAATTCTGAGCTAGGAAGCAAAGTTTATATCTCCAACCTTCTAAATAATCTCTGACCATGATAAAACTGAATTCCCCTGAGCACCTTTTGACTTGATAATATGTAGAATTATAGTCTCTTGATTTTTAAACAACATACTTTTACATTTAAAGCCATTCATTAGAAAATAATATAGCAAAAATCTGATACTTATGGGTATTTTTAAAATTCATACATAGTAAATATTTAAGTACATACTACAAAGAAATATCTTATGAATTCAATTAAAATCAGTGGAAATAATTGTTATAAAATGTTAAAACACGTTATTTATTTTATAGCAACATGGTACTTTGTTGAATCCCAGAAAGAAAAATAGCAGAATAATGAGTAAATCAAATCAGGTATCCTCTAAGTAAACTATATATATATATTTTTTTTTCAGTCATTCTCTAAAAGGACAGAAATTTCTATATGTTTTCTAATACTGCTGAAATTGTGAAGCCTCAGGCTATTCAGGAAAAATATGAAAACTATTACAAAAAATTCCATTCATAACTTATTTTTTTAAATAGTGTAATTCATTCTTGGATTATAACTCAGTTATCTATCACTATCATTTTCCCTTTTTCTCTGGTCTATAGCAAAGTAAATAACTGAATTTGTTTCTGGATTAGTTATTATATTTCAATAGAGGACAGAGAGCAACAGTGTTGCTTCTGAGTCTTTTTCATACCTTGTCTTCCTTTCCTGAGCTCCTTTTGTCTACACTGCTCTTATCTGAAATCCATATCCTCTGTTATATTTTCTACACCAAATTACCATAACTTAATGTGCTAATTTATAATTAATAAAGAATATCTGATTTTCTCTGTGTACTTAAGAAATAACAAAGCCCAGATACACATAATGGGCCTACTAATAAAACACATGGGAGGGCAGAAATGATAGAACTGAAATATGTCCAAGTCAAGTTGGTCAGTTGCCTCATGAACACAAGAGGCTATTAAAGCTAAATTAATTTTTGGCACTAATCGTTCTTTTAACATGTTCTGTTTGTTGATGAAGTCTCTTTCATTGTTTTTGTTTTTACTCTTTATTCTAGAAATGTGTTCATGCATTTACTAAATACAATCATAGCTACTCCTTGCTATAAAAGTACTTACAGATTACATGGTTTAACACTATCCTGGAAACATCTGTTTTTTTTTATTTATATATTTTTGCTTTAAATATCTTTTAAAATCTTCTTTAATTGTTATACTCTTGTCTTGGTCAGTGTTTTGTTATGTTTTGGTGAGGAATTTTGTAAGCAGCCCACATTGAGTCTTTCAAATATTGTTCTCTCACTCACCTGAAATTGGCCATTTACATCTGCAGGAATTACCTTACAAACACACACAAAAATTAATCAAGTCTCCTTCAAAAATTAGACCAAGTACTGTTTCCTTTTGAAAATCATCTCTTACCTCACTGAGAAAATATAGACTCTTGCCTCCTTTAAATATTGCTAGTATTTTAAAATATAACATTGTGTTTTGCTATATATTAAATAAGCAATATATAATTATATGTTACACTATATGTAACATTACGTGTGTGTATATAAACACATATAAATACATACATGTATGTGTACACATATATGTGTGTATGCATATATATATATATAGAGAGAGAGAGAGAGAGAGAGAGTGAGAGAGAGAAAGATTGAATACCCAAAGGAATATAAATCATGCTGCTATAAAGACACATGCACACATATGTTTATTGTGGCACTAGTCACAATAGCAAAGACTTGGAACCAACCCAGATGTCCAACAATGATAGACTGGATTAAGAAAATATGGTACATACACACCATGGAATACTATGCAGCCATAAAAAATGATGAGTTCATGTCCTTTGTAGGGACATGGATGAAGCTGGAAACCATCATTCTCAGCAAACTATCACAAGGAGAAAAAATCAAACACCACATGTTCTCATTCATAGGTGGGAATTGAACAATGAGAACACTTGGACACAGGAAGGTGAACATCACACACCAGGGCCTGTCGTAGGAGATACGAGTTGATGGGTGCAGCACGCCAACATGGCACATGTATACATATGTAACAAACCTGCACGTTGTGCACATGTACCCTAGAACTTAAAGTATAATAAAAAATATATATATAAAAGAAATTATGTGATTACTTCAGTAGTATATAATACTTTGATTCATGGTACTTTTAACATTTCCACTCTCATTTATGCTATAATATTGCTGTGACATATTCTCAAAATAACTTCCCCTACCACTACAACTCTTTTCTATTTTTTTCCTATTTTTCTCTCATTCATCTAACATATTGTGTTTGAAATTCCACATATTCTATCTTCTCTTGGTAGCAACACACACAAACATCTCATGTGCATGTGTAAATACTCACAACATATGCACACAAATCACTTAAAGATTATAAGCGACCTATATATTAATCATTCGAAAAAAAGCATGGACAAACCTTACGTTAATGAATCCAAGAGCAGCAAAAAATGTTTCCTGACCATTTTAATAGCTTTTCATAAGGACCCAAAGGTGTTTAGCAGCTTTGAAAGTCCATGTGCAAGTCTGTAAAATCCTTTATTCAATTAAACTTTTTTTTCATTCTGGTTTGACATTGAGGCAAATATGAAACCAACCCTAAATAAAAAATTGTACTCTTTTCCCCTTAGTGATAGAAGATCCACATTTCTGTCAGATCCAATTGGAGTAAAATCTGGTCTTTAAAACTAAAGAAGATGGCAATCACGCTGATTCTCAAAGTACTCATTTGTCAAATGGGAATAACAGTATCAACTACATGGGGATTTTGTAGAAATTAAATGAGATAAAATCGTTTGGTAACTAAAGAAATAAATGAATGCCTTTAAGTTCCTATCAAACTGCTGTTCTTCCATCTTCAGTGTCTTTAAAAGAACCTTCAAAATTGATTAATTCAGGATATTTTATGATCTTCCAGGTTAGAGAGCAAACAGGGAAATGGCACTCATATTGTAGAAATATCTCTGTGTATATTCATATCTGGCCAACCTATGTTTGCAGGAAAACCTGATTTTCCACTAGCTCTATGGACTTTGAAAATCACTTAACCTCTTTGAGCCTAATATTCCTCTGTGTAACAGATTTAATAATCTTTACTTTGCATCTGTTTTTTAATATTAGAAATATATGTAATATGCTTATAATGACACATAATTCATTAACGTTAGTTGTAGAAGTGATAGCCCTTCTTTTATATGAAGACATTTTATAAACAGAAAATATTTCCGTTCATTCCTCCTGCACATCTGTTGTGAAGGTACATATAAAGTTATAATGTGTGATAGCCCCAGTTTGAAGGATGAGGAATGGAGAATAGACATATGCTACATTTATGTCTATCGCACACTGTTTAAAATTTTGTTAATAGTGACATCAAAAGAATATTTTATATCTTAATTTTAATAAATATTACTTCACTAAGCAAGATAAAGCACCTGAACCAATAAGAAATAAAATTCCACATATAATGTATAGCCTTAGGAACAAAAAAGCCAACAGGACATCTCTGATCTGATGTAACCATTTAATGACATGCACAGGTGGCAGCATCTCCCTATAACTGATGACAGAAGAGTTGGAAACGAGGGCATAAAAGAATGACATATCCTGAGAAGAGGAATCTGGTCACATTCTTGACCTACTCTAATATGTGTCCTACTATTTCTGATTTTGTGCACAACATAATTCCAAACTCCCCACATTTCAACCAACAGTAGAAATGGGAAGAGAGTAATGACTGTGCCAGAGTCAAAGGTACCCACTGTCACAGCATCTGTCATTAACTGATAACTATCATTGGCTTTCTGGCTAATAGTGATCATTGGCTATTTCTTCCCCAAAAGATTACCCGCCCAAACTCTAATAGATACTACCTGGCATTAGAACCCAAGCTGGGAGATTTGCAAAAATTCAGTACTTAGCAGCAAAATTTCTTTGTCTAGGTATGTAAATGCATGTTTCCGCTTCTTTGTAAGAGCCTGTTGTTATGATGTGCTCACATAATTTGAATTCCATAAATTATTTTGCTGTTTTTTTCTCCTGTACTAATCTCAGCAGCCAAAGGATATATAATTATCACTTATTTATAAAGCTTCTCTTTTTTTCAATTACGGTAATGTGTTTCTAACTTTCCATTCTTAATATATGACCATAAATCCCACTTCTACACTTACTGTTAATACTTCATACTTGCCTACTGTTCTTCTACTAAATGTCCTAATTCTCTGTTTTATATTTTTAGTAACATATGGATTAGTAAAAATGTTGATTGTGATTTGGATTCAAATGAGGAATCTGGTGAATGAGATAAGCCTCCCATTTCCCTCACACAAATTATATATACAAACAAGTTTACCCATCAACTTAGAAGTTAGGGTCACCTTCAAGCTTATTTTTGGATAACTTTACCAGCCAGAAACCCTGAATTAACAATGCTGTACATAGAGAATTTTGTAGCAAATTAGTTTAAAGATACAAGACTCAGAATCAGAGAGAACTAGCCACTCTTCTTCTAAGTTGAGTGAACTTCATGTTCTTATTAATTTTTCTGTACCCTACTTAACTCATCGATAAAGTTAAGTTGGCTCACTTGGTGTCTAGAGGCTTCTTAACTCCAATTACATATTCCATAATTCTAATTGCTAACTACTGTTAAATCATAACTCTCTACTATTCAGGTATGTTTTATTCCTCTGCAGAGGTTGAAATACCATGCACTGAAGCTTTGAAAATCACACAATATATGCATTTACATCAATGGATGATCACATTATTGCATCTTATATCAAATAATTGACAGGAGACACTGTATTATGATTAGGCTTTTTACATATATATTATCTAATGGATCTTCACAAAACTTCTGTATGGCAGTATGATCACATTTTATAAAGAGATTGAATATCAGAGAAATTAAGTGATATTATCATAATCTTACAAGTGGCCATGAGTCAATAAGCGGCAGAGATAGGATTTAGATCCACGATCCATCATCATACATCATTTTCCACCATCAAATTTAACTTAAAAGTAGTATTTGATAAAAGCATTTAAAAATGTGAATACCTAATTAAAAATGTGTTTTGATGTTTACTTTTAATATAGGGTTTTTCAGTACATTGAATCTATTTAAACAGCGTCACACATCATTACCTGTGGTGGAAGCAGTGGCAGTCTTATAAAGGCAAGAAGCATGCTCAGGTCATTGCATCTACTCTGCATGTCATACTTGACCCACATCATCAATGCATGGAAGATGGTTTCTTCATCAGGAACATTGACATCATCACTGGCCAGTAGTTTATGGAGCTCCTCAGCTGGAAGGAGTAAAAACTCTTGATTTCTGATAACTTCCATTATGTTTTCCTGCAGGGAGAAAATATCTTGGCATAAATTCTGTTTCACTTTTATTTAGCTAGTAAAGCATTTCAGAAAGAAGAAAAGTAGTCAATATCCTTTGTTCTTATTATAACATAATCCTTGAGACTCGATCCTTCAGAAACTAGAGGCTGTTAAGATGAAAGCATTGTAATTGTCATTGAAGTGTAAATGTATCCCAGACAGCACAGATCTTGTAATAAGTGCAGGATTATAATGCTGAGCTTTGTTATGCAGGCAGAATGTACTAAGTGATTAAATGTTCAAGTTTCAAGTGTACTGCTATATAAGATTTGGTGAATAGGAAAAAATAACATTTCACATTTTTAAAAGCTTGACTATATATGTAGACATATATATGAGGATCAGAAAATGGCACTAAAATTGCATAGATAAAAGTAGCACTATAAGATGCACCATTGTTTATTCAAAAGAGAAAGAATAGGACAGATAGGCCACTGAAGTCACAAAATCCAGCAAGTTCCATCCTGCTATTATCTCTTATCATTCCCTCCTCTCATGACAATTTCTTTGGCTTAATTCCCATTTATTTTCTTATTACCATTTATTTTCTTCCTGTTTGCTCCCATAACCTCCTAATTACACTGCCTAACTCTATTCTTAGCTTCTCAGTTTCATCCTCTATCATGATGACAGAATAATATTTCCAAACCATAAATGTGCTCATGGTTTTATTCTGAAGTTTTTGTTTTGTTTTGTTTTATTATTTCTCCTTATATTTTGGTTCAAATTTCTTGTTTAAGCAAGCTGGTGTTCATAATCTGACCTTTTCCTGTTCTCTTTGTTTTTCAACTTGCCATCTTGTTTGACATTTCCTCCCTTACTTACTCCATTACTTAAAATGACTTTTATCAACTTTGCTTTTCTAAATTTCTGTCACATTTCAAGATTCAATGCAAGACTTACCTATTACATATGGCTCCTCAAGTTTCTACTGAGTCTCATTTGACCTGGTCACGCCTTCACTATCCCCTTGCGGTGTGTAGTGGGTGTATCCCTGCCACAGCAGATACCACACTGCAGCCTAATCTTTGGTAAACTTAGAAATCTTTTCACAAATTTTAAGCTGTAAGACCCTGATTTATATAACCTTGTATATCTAGATCCTGACACAAAGCCTGGAAAACAGCAGAGGAGCAGTACATATTTGCTGAATACATGAATTGATAATCTCTGTAGAGAAAAACAAAATTGTAGAAACAGCACAGGATGGTACAGTGTTTTAACAACATATTTTAAAAACTACTTGTCAAAAACTTTCTTACATTTTAAGCAAAAAGTCTTCTGTGGATGATACATGTTTAGAGAAGACAGAGATTCTGCTGTTTGGCCTTCTCTGCTCCACCTCTCCCCATGTCTCCTGGGACAGCTCCAAGACATAGCAAAGGCTTCTCAGGTTCTAGTTTTAAAGCCACAGCGGTGGTAGCAATAGCCACAGGACACATATTTTAGTATAAAAACTGCAGTAGAGTGACACTAAGACTCTTCCAAAGAAGCATTGTGACCGTGCTAAACAGAGTAGAGGATTCAGCAAGTGACCATTAATCTGTATGTTAGAGCAGTTTCAAATTTATTTTTTGAGGAGAAACCTGGTCTGTGTTACAGTATGTCCTTGGAACTGAAGTAACTTCAGCTTTCACAAAAGGGCACTAACTTACTTTCTTTCAGGGCATCTGTCATACATTTACATTAATTGTATAATAATAATACAATTTGTAAATAATGTCTTTATTTATACTGATTGGCTTCCCAGAATAACTGAAAGTAGTTATTTTGGTTCCAGGAAATTGTTTTGTTCCTTGTGTTTCCTTTGGGCACCATGTAAATTATAGATGCCCATAACTGTTCAGGTAATTAACAAATTAAGTGTTCTGAGATGTTTTGCCATCAGATTTTTCAAAAAAAAAAAAAAAAAAAACTACGTGAAGCTAAAGATGTTCTGAGGAATCTTTGAAAGATTTGTCCACCTGTTTTTCCAGTTACTAAAAAATCTATGCCTCCATTAAACCACACACAGAACTCTATAGCTAGGCCATCAAAATATAGTGAGGGATGTCATAAAAAACAGCTCTATGAAACTCCTAGTGGTATCTGTCATAAAGATACTGTTCAAGGCATATTTCATTATATTTTATAGTGTCCTCTTTATGGTGACCCTTGGGAGAAGTTTCTTTCAGGTTTTAGTAGCAAGAATAATTGCACTTCTCCTGAATAAATTGGTTTGCTTTTATCATGGATGTTGTAAATTATGAAATTGATCAGATTTCTCTTTTTATTTGGCCTCCAGAAAACTTAGAGTCAAATTGAAATCTATCTCGTAGGAAGGCTATAGACTTTTATAGTTTGATTTCTTTTTCAGACAGCTCTGATAATAGTTTTAATACCACTACAGCACTTTTTCTTTTCTTTTTTTTTTTTTTTTTGAGACGGAGTCTCGCTCTGTCGCCCAGGCCGGACTGCGGACTGCAGTGGCGCAATCTCGGCTCACTGCAAGCTCCGCTTCCCGGGTTCACGCCATTCGCCTGCCTCAGCCTCCCGAGTAGCTGGGACTACAGGCGCCCGCCACCACGCCCGGCTAATTTTTTGTATTTTTAGTAGAGACGGGGTTTCACCGTGTTAGCCAGGATGGTCTCGATCTCCTGACCTCGTGATCCACCCGCCTCGGCCTCCCAAAGTGCTGGGATTACAGGCGTGAGCCACCGCGCCCGGCCCTTCTTTTCTTTTTATCTCTGCATCTAACTTAAATAATATTCCAATAATTTTGTATTTTTATAAGTTACACTAAATCTTTTGGTAACCAGCGGCGTTGTTTGTACAAACTGCTATAAGGAAATGGGACCTCAGGAGCTGGTATCAGATCTTTCACACTTACCTACGTATTATTATGTAGGTGTTATTTTTTTTTTTTCTTTACACTTCATTGAATTTCTCAAGTTCTCCTTGCTGTTTTATTTTTCCATCAAGCCTCATTTTAATGATACTTTGTTTATGGTACCTACAATGTAGGTTCTGGAAATTAGTTGTTTTAACATCATTATGTGTTATTGCTAAAAGAGAAAATATCAATTCCCATTGAGTTTCTTACATTGCTTGCATATGTTAGCAAACTCCTTATTGTCTATGAAGATCATATAACAAGAGGCCTGTATGCCTTTTGTACAATCTCTTTCTTAGGTTTATTCAATCAACCATTCAGCATAGGTTTATCAAAACCCTGATATATGGCCCTGATAATCATCGTGAGGACAAAATGGATTTGAATAAAAAAGCTCGCCATATGGGAGACACGTAGAAAAAGTGCAATTATCTGGAAAATGATAGTAATCAACTCTGTAGAATCCAGCTTTTCAAGTGGACCTAAAATATTAGAAAGGAGTTTAAACCAGAAAATGGGAAATGGAGACATATAGTATTCTGGCCAGTGAAAACCATATAAAGACATAATCAGGGAGTATAGTATGTGATGCCATAGTTGTCAATTTGATTGAAAACAAGCACAGAAAATTGGTGGGAAATAACATTGAAAGGGAAGTTTAGGTGAGATAATAATGGAGTAGAGGTAGTCTAAAACTTTGATGGTCTTATATGTATGATATTATCATTTGAACATATTGAATCTCATGAACACACACATACATACACACATTTTCTACATATGGGTTAAAAATGCTTATTATAAAGAAAGATTTTGGCAACAAATGTAAGTTGCCATTTCATAAGACAGGATAGCTACAAAAATAAAGACTAAACTACTATTTACTACGACTACTTCATAATATTTTAAAATAATTTTTCTAGCTAAAACAATGTAGTTTTGTTTTATCCTGAATAGACAGAAGTTTTGCACCAGTTTTTTTTTTGTTTGTTTAATTATTTCCTGGACTTAATGTGAACAGATTTTCTAATATTCATTTCTTCTGTGCATTAATTAAATTATGGTCTTCCCACATTAATTATTGTTAATAATATATATATAAAACTCTTTTGAAATTTTATTAGAAATATAAATTTTTATATGAAAATTAGCTGAAACCTAATGGTAATATTGTATCAAACAATATAAGTAAATCCCTTCAACTATCATCTCTTTGTTATTAAGTTTAAAATATGGATATTAACCTATAGCAATATATTTTATTATTGTTTAAGTAACTTTAATTTTGTTTACTTCATGAGCAGCTAATATCAAACCAACACATTATGTACTATATGGTTAACTCAAGAAATCTCTCTCTCATGGAAGTCTACTGAGTTAAGACTTATGTCTTACCATCTTATACTCTGTGACCATTAGTCAATTACAGTAAACTCCTAGTCACGGTTCTAAGCATTATAGTAGGAAGATAAATCCTTTGTCAGACCACTACATAATCTCTGGCTAGATTTCAATGCACCAGAGGATATAGAATTTATTTAATCATCCATCTAAACAGTTATTGGTTAGAAAGATGAGTTCTTAGGAGGCTCATAATGCCAAGCACCTGAAAAAAAATGGGGATCCTGGAATTTGGCTACATCCTCTGGTTGAGGTTGATTAGGTAAGTATGAAAAATATAATCTTTGGGTCTAATGTTTTGGGTCTAAGATTTTAAAATTTCTAATTCCTTAAGCGTCCTTTGCAAGCAAAGTTTTGAGAGTTTCATGATATATGCATGGTTCTACTATTTTAAGGATTGAGATAGAAAAATTAATCTTTTGACTTCTGAGACAATGTTTTTCCTGTTATGTTATGTACTAGATTGAAACGAAATTTTCAGTCTTCTATTTCATCGGATATAAAGGTACAATGTAGGCCACAGTGGCTGTTTCCTCAGAGGGCACAGGTAAACCTTGACCACTGCTTTGGTGTTCTCTATCGAGCAGCTTTTTCATTTTTTACAACAGGGCCAGGCTGATAATTTTCAAATCTTTAAGATCTGCTTCCCTTTTGATTTTAAATTCTGTCTTTGATTCATTTCCATTTTCTTGAAATTTACTATAAGCAGTTGACGAAAGCAACGTGGCTCCTTCGTTACTTGGCTTAGAGATTTCTTTTGCCAAGTGTTTTGCCACTCACAAGTTCTTCTTTCCACAAAACGCTGGGATGCAAACACAATTCAGCTAAGTTCTTTGCCACTTTATAACAAGGGTCACTTTTCCTTCAATTACCAAAAACCCATTCCTCATTTCAGTCTGAGACCTCATCAGGATGGCCTTTACTGTCATAGTTCTAGCAACATTCTGATCACAATGACTTAGGTAATCTGAGACTTTCTCTGCTGCTCTCTTCTGAAGTCTCACATAAATTGCCCTTTACAGTTTGTTCAAGGCAATATCAGTTTATTCTAGTATGCATTTCAAAATTCCTCCAGCCATTATTCATTATGTAGTTCCAAAGCCTCTTCCACATTTTTTGGGATTTGTTATAGTAACTCCCTATCCCTCGGTATCAATTTCTGTCTTACTTATTTTCTGAGCTGCTATAAAACCATCTTAGACTGGATAATTTATAAACTACAGAAAATTATTGCTCACAGTTCTAGAGACTGGAAAGTCCAACATCAAGGCACCATCAGATTTGTTGTTTGGCGAGGGCTCCTTCCTTACAGACAGCATTTTCTTGCTGCATTCTCATATGGCTGAAGGAGCAAACAAGCTTCTTCTGGCCTCTTACAAGGCACTAATCCCATTTATCAAGGCAGAGCCCTTATGACCCAAATACCTCACAATGTCCTCCAGCTTTTAATATAACCACAATGGGGATTAGGTTTTAACATATGGAATTTGGGGGGACACAAATCATAGCAGCATCTCTTCCAAATACTATATTTAATATTAACCCAAGAATATGACCTTAGGTGGAAATAGGGTCATTGCAGATATAGTTGATTAAGTTAAGAAAAAGTCATACTGGATTGGGGTGGACCATAATCTAATGACTGTGGTCTTTCTAAGAGAAATTTTGAGATACACAGATACACCGTGAATAGAACTCAGTGTGAAGAAATGAGAGACACAAAGGGAAGTAGGCTATCTGAGATAGAGGCAGAGATTATGTGTAGTTATGCTACCACAAACTGAGGAATAACAAGGATTGTCAGTAACAGAAGCTGGAAGAAGCAAGAAAGGATTCTTCCCCAGACACTTTAGGAAAAAACATGACCCTGTGGATAATATGACTTTGAATTTCCGGTCATTAGAACTGCAAAAAAGTAAATGTAATGTCTTTTAAGCCACCCATTTTGTGGAACTTTGTACAGCAGATCTAGGAAACTAACACACATCATTGGAGAGATCTATAAAAATTATAATTTTAAAAAAACTTACTTTAAAAATCTCAAATAAACTTAAGAAAGCATCACAACTATTTCCCATCTTTAAAATAAGAATTTCTAAGTTATTTCTTTTATAGAGTAATTCCCTTAAGAAATACTAGCTTTCCCATGTCCCTTATGGAGGATAGCAAATATCAAGAGTTATAAATAAAATCCAGGTGAGCACCTTAAGAGTAAGGCTGCATATATGTTGCATAGGTCATATATATATATATATAATTTTCTATTGCTTTTTAGAATTTAAACTTTCTAAAAATGCAGAGTTGAGAAAGACATCTCCCTTCAAGTATCAAGAGTTTTTAGTAATAATTACCTTAATGTTGTTGCACTGACATATTGCTGTCAAGATTCTAACTTTCTCAGGGTTTAAAACGAATTTTACTGGGCTTTTGATTATTTGCCTTGCCTGAATTTTTAATCCCTTTGTCAAAGTTGCTGACTGAACTGTTGAACACTACCTTAGAATTTCAAAGGGAATGGAAACTCATTATGAGATTATCACAACTTGTTATTTTACCGGGGAGAATGCTGAAGCTAAGAGGAGCTCGCATATAGTCATACTCATGGTCAAGATAAGGCTAGGATTAGAAACTCAGCTTTTTGTCCTTAAGCCTATGACACTTTCCATTACACAACCTGGCCTATCTATTATTTGATTAATTTTTTTCTGGTTCTCCTCACCCATCTATTTTGAGCTTAATGTCTTACTTTGACCTATGTAACATATATGCACCCTTACTCTTAAGGTGCTCACCTGGATTTTATTTACAACTCTTAATATTTCTGGGTCGCACAATATGGCATGGTGATTATGGGTGATTTAATTTGGAGAGTTGGACAGGATTTAGATGTCAACTCTGCTACTTACTAGCTGTGGAACATTAAGGAGCTGGGTTTCTTGTATGTAAATGAGGATGAAAATAGCATCCATGATAATGCATTCTTATCAGAATTAGGTATGAAGACTAAATTAAATTTACTATCCTTAGAGGAATGCCTGTCTCATAGAAAGGAACACATAAGTGTTAGCCATTACTATTCTGCATCTGACCCTACCCTTCCCTTCAGCCTCCTCTTGCTAGCTCTAGAGGCTACATTAACATTACTTTATTTTCTCTATTTTTCTGATTATTCAGTCATTCAAGCAATAATGTTTTATGGGATTCTTTCTCTATGCCTAGTATATGCTTAATACTGGGAATATATAAATTTAAAAAAAGAAAGGCTCTGGCCTTAAGAATTTTACTTTCTAGTGAGGGGGACAGTATAGTATTATAAAATAATTACATTCATTTTATAATAAGAAGAAAAATTTAGTGATTTGAAGAGGGTGACAATGGAAGTGAAATAAAAGAGACCAGACTACATTTTTCTCCTTTCTGCAATAACAATTTCCAAAAAAAGAAAATGTTTGTAATAGATCATGGATTCGGAAAGCACTAAGAAAATATTGGTGTCATCTGGTCCAATTCTCATTATCTAGACAGAATATCAAATAGGAATTACCACTATCTAACATATTCTTAAATTGGAAACATTCTTTGAAATCACTTAATTTAATTTACATTCCATACACTTTTACTGTGCACTGATTACCCGGTAATTATTTTCAGTGATGGGAAACCCACGACCCTGTGAGGAAGCCCTTATCACTGCTGAATAGCTCTATTAGAAAATTGTCCTATTTTTGAAGCAACATCTGCCTTCTTGTAATTTTCTTTCATCCAAGGGCAAATCAATTACTATTCTGTTTATCACCTTTGTAAATCCTTGCATATTAATATTTTTCTTCCACACACACACGCACACACACACACACACACAGATATATGTATCTCCTTGTAAAGGCTAAGAACTACCATTCTTTAATCTGTATAGAAGGTCCTAATTTTCAGAACCAGGAAAGGATGCTAGAACTAAAGATATAGTTTTAGTTGAAACTATATATGTCTGTGAATATACCTGCATTTTTCTTATTGCTTTAGAAATGATAAAACAACAATCAGCAGATATTTTTTGACTCTATATTGCTTCTTTGCATACATTTTAATCTTATATATACAAACATATACTTGTTTAATTAATATTATTCAAATTATACAACGAAGAAAAGTATTCAAAGAGCTGTTAATGTGTACAGGTTTAACGGTGTTTTCCTGTTTTCTCTATATTTTGTTATCAGCTCTTAGGAAATAAACATGGAATATAATTTCTTTAAGCATTCAAATTATATGTTAGTTTCTTCCTTAATAATGGCAATATGCAGAAAAGTTACTAAATGCCATACATGTTTTGTTATCATACGCATAAACCCTCTGCCGAGTTTTCCTTACCTAGAGCAAAATTACCTAGATACAACTCTGCCGGACTGAAGTGAATGGCTGCCAGTTTTCTTTATTAATTCTATAGCACCCACTAAGTGGTAGCTCCCTAATGCATAGTAACTATATTTTTACAAAATATGAGAGTATTAATTTTTTAAAAAAGAAGAATTTTATAATTATCTCAAAACTGTTTCTAGTATCAGAAATAATTTCTGGTGACCATCTTTCAAGATCATCATACAGGAGAAAAGAAAATTTTGTTATTTTAAGTCCCTTAAGTATATGTGATTCTATGACTGGAAGTGGTCTCAGACAAAATGCTGTTGAATAGATAAGAGGAGTTAGAAATTATAGTGGAAATAGCATTGACTTTTTAATAAAAAAGGAATGATATTCTAATTCTGATCCTTTCTAGTCATGATTTCCCAGGGAAATGCATTTAATAATTCTAAGACATCATCTCCTCACCTTGAATATAGATTTTATAACCACATTGAGTTAATAAACATTTTGCTGGTTTGTTTCGAATATCAATTGATATTAGAAAAAAATAATATTTAAACTTTGGAATGTTATGCAAAACATTTGCAATTATTTTGGGAAGATTCTTTAACTCTTGTAATCATTTGGTCTGCTTCTCATACTGGACATATATTGCTCAAAAGTTTAATATGTGATACCTATTGTCTACTAATGTAGGAGAAAGGAGCCTATAGAAATAATTTATAAATTTTATTTTTTTAAAAAAATACTCCAGTCAGCTAAACAATACTACTTCTATTTTTTTGATTTAACAAAACTAACAAATTTCTCAAATATGTTAATTACTTTGCAAAGTTTAAACATGCATGTATAAATTATTAGAGTAGTAGTATTTATTTTTATAATTAGTAATATTAGGTACATTAACTTCCTGGTAGAGCCTAAACTTATCTCTTCTGCCTCCTTGATAAATTGCTGAACATCGGTATTTGCCAATATTCTTTAGGTGTCTAGCAGTCATTGAGAACGGTATGAGCTAGAAAGTTTAGGAGAAAAGATAAATCTCTGTACAATCTTTATAAAAGCCATATGTTTTTAACAGCTTAGAAGAAAATAGTATCATTGAAAATTAAATCATGAGACAATAACACACCTATGTGTTGAGGTCTGTTTCTTTTCATTGCAGTAAACTGTCCAGGGCACCTGATCATATAATTTTTCTGAAATGATTTCCAGTGCTTGATGAAAGAATAAAAATAATGCTCCTCTACAACCTTACTAGAAAAAGAAAGTTGTAATGCAAGATAGCCTCTCTGCTTTTCCTGCTCTAGGACATGTTTCAGAAAAGTGGCTGGAAGAATCTACTTTGATCTGTAAGAAGGTATGTATATTGTGTCAGGCGGTGCTCATTCTGTACTTACAGAAAATTGAAAAAAAGTTTATACCCTAACTTCTCAGAAAAAAAAACAACAATTTTCCAGGAACTAAAGAATTTTATTGTCAACCTAAGATTTATTTAGTCTTTTGTCCTTATGCTTATATGCATAAATGATACTTCGGGAAAGCCTGTTATATGCATAATCAGAAATAGCTAGACAGTTGGGATAAAAAGTATGTGTAGAAAGAAAGAAGTCAGTACAGAAGTTACTTACATAACCACATTGACTATTTTGTAGTAAAAGACAACATTAGCATTATTCAATGAGGAATACATTACATTTTGCAATTTAAGGTCTAAATGGTCTCCACAGAAGCATGTAAAATTTTAATTATGATTTTGCATTCATTTATTGCTTAATAAAGGATTTAGATTATTTCCCTTCTGGGATGAATAATTTACTAGTTGCTTACAACCAACATTTAAAAATCACAAGACTATATATTCTTATATTAACCTATTTTTGAAGCTTTTCTGAACAGTAGAAATAATTATAATAATTGTCAAAGAAATTCAGGAGGAAATTAAAAGCAAATGATAAAAATTAACACCAACAAAACCCTAAAATGGAAACTAATGAAATAGTATACTCTATAAAAAAATTGGAATAAAGTGATAATTCTCTTGGTAGCTACATAAATTTTTTTTTTTTTTTTTTTGAGAGGGAGTCTCGCTCTGTCGCCCAGGCCGGACTGCGGACTGCAGTGGCGCAATCTCGGCTCACTGCAAGCTCCGCTTCCCGGGTTCACGCCATTCTCCTGCCTCAGCCTCCCGAGTAGCTGGGACTACAGGCGCCCGCCACCGCGCCTGGCTAATTTTTTGTATTTTTAGTAGAGACGGGGTTTCACCTTGTTAGCCAGGATGGTCTTGATCTCCTGACCTCATGATCCACCCGCCTCGGCCTCCCAAAGTGCTGGGATTACAGGCGTGAGCTACATAAATTTTTAAGAAATATTTCTCGAGTTTGTCAAATAATAATTTAGTACCTGCCATTAATGTATCTCTTAGCAAACAAAAGAACCACTAGCTACATTACAACATATATTGTTATGTATGATGCTCTAAATACGAAAGTTGGTACAAAACATAAATGCGTGGAGCATTAATATATTTTGTACCTAAGATGCAGGAAAAATAAACAAGGACTGAAGTTCATACCTCACATTTTCATCCTGGATGGTCTCAATTCTGGAAATGGCTGTTTATTATTTCTTCAAGCATTATAAATATACAGTTATTTACTTATGTGTTTATAGGTATTTGTTGTGCGTGAAAGAGCACCCTTTTTTGGGAAACACAGTGTTGGAGCATAGTGACCAACAGACAAAGGCCGCCCAATGGCCATCTTACACATCACTCTCCAAAAGACACATAGGATGTTTGCTAATAAAAATCAACTGGAAAATGGATTTCACTGGGCAACTCCCCCAGCCTCACTTGGGGGTTAGGAAATCTCCCAACCGTTTTCCTGATGGCAACTGTGGTATATGAGATAGAGACCCTAAGGGGTGCCTTTCTGTTTTTTATAAAGAACATTTATTTCGATTTTTTTGAAGTCATTGTGTTACTTTTATTCTATGTTCTCTTATGGCCACCAGACCAACTTCTATTCACATTGCCTTGAGGTCTGTACAAGAGAGGTCATCTTTAGCCATGATGGAGTTGTCCAGGATTGTATCATTGGCCAGCGTAATCCTGCTTGTGCAAATCTGAAAGATGTGCTTCTTAGTCTTTCCATCAGGTAGGGGGAAATCAAATTTCTAGTCAATACGATCTGGTCTAATAAGCGCTAGCTCCAAAATTTCTATTTGTCTTGTGGCCATAACTTTTACATCTCCCCTTGAACCAAATCCATCCAACTGGTTCAACAGTTCCAACATTATTGGCTGAATTTATCTCTCACCACCAAAATTTGAGTCATATCTTTTTTTCCTAATGCCATCAATTTCATCTATAAACACAATGGAAGGTGCATATTTTCAGCAACTTGAAACAATTCCCATATGAAATTGGGCCCATCACCTCAGTAATTCTAAAAAAGTTCAAAGCCAATCAATCTCAACAAAGTGGCTGAGGTTTGATTTGCAACTAATTTGGTCGACAAGGTTTTAGCTGTGTCAGGTGGACCATAGAGAATGATCTCCTTAGAGGACTTGATATTCATATTTTCATAACATTCAGGATGTGTGAGAGGAAGCTCCACAAATTCCTTAATTTCTGGGATTTGGTTGGCCAATCCTCCAAATTGGCATAGGTCTCCTTGGAGACCTTTCCCACCTTCTTCACCCTAACTAGCACCTCTATCATGGCATGCACCTTGCGGTTGAGCAGAACCAAGCAGCTTGGTTCCAGCAGATCCTTGTCTACAAATGACAGAATGCTGATGTAGTGTTCTGAGCTCACAAATGTAGACACGGTGGTATGATTGTCATCAATGATCTCTTCCAAGGTTCCTACTGATGTCAGAGTCTCCTTCAGATCACCCACTTCGGATCTTGCTTTCTTCTTCTTGCTTTTCTTCTAATGGTTTCATTTGTTCCTTATATATAATGAATTCTTCCTCCATGAGAAGGTAGTCTTTAATTCTAACTTCAATAATTTTAACAGGCACTGAATGTGAGGTGTTACCAGTTGCAGTTTGCTGGCAGCATCTGGTCCCTTTGTTTTCTTATTTTTCCCCACTCTAGTTGGTACAAGAGGTTCACACTTCTTTTCTTGTTTGTGTTAGGATTCTTGCCTCCTCCAGTATCATGACCCCCACTCTGACTTTGACCCATCTTGCCTTGGCCACTCAAGCTGCCACTGTCATGGTGCGTCTCTCACAGAAGCCCATCCCATTGGCACATTTAACAGAGCCATTAAATAACTTTGGTATTTTTCTGATTTTGTAATATAAACGGGTTGATTTGTATATTAGTTTCCTATTGCTGCTGTAACAAATCACCATAAATTGTGTGGCTTTAAAAAATACCTATTGATTATACTGCAGTTCTGGAGGTCAGAAGTGCAGGCAGAGTGTAGCTCAGGTAGTTTTCTGCTTCAGGTTTCGCCAAGTGAAAATCAAGATGCTGGCAAGGTTCCTTAATTTTTGGAATATTTGGGAATAATCTGTTTCTTTCTTTTTTCCTTTTTTTTTTTTTCAAGGTCTTGCTCTGTCGCCCAAGTTGAAGTTTGCAGTGGTGTGGTCTCGGCTCACTGCAGCTACCATCTCCCAGGTTCAAGTGATTCTCTTGATCCAGCCTCCATAGTAGGTGAGACTACATGTGTGCACCACCATGCCTGGCTAATTATTGTATTTTTTAGTAGAGACAGGGTTTTGCCAGGTTAATCAGGCTGCTCTTGAACTTGTGACCTCAGGTGATCCACTCACCTCTGCCTCCCAAAGTGCTGGGATTACAGGCATGAGCCACCGTGCCCAGCCAGGAAAAATCTGTTTTCAAGCTCATTCACATTGCTGGTAGAATTTGCTTCTATGTGATTATAGTACTGAGGTCCCCTTTTTCTTGGTGGCCGTTGCCTGGAGGTCACTCAGCTTTTAGACACTTCTCACATTGGTTGGTTTGCCCCACTTTCTCCATCTTTACACACAGCAATGGCAGGTTGAATTCTTCTCATGATTGGAATCTCTCTTGCAGCCCCTTCAGCCTCTTCTCTCCTTTCTTATTCTCCCATATCTCTGATTGGCACTTCTGGCTTCCTCTTCTGCTTTTGCAGACTCATGCCGCTACACTTGACTAATCCTGGATATTCACTGTATCTTATCGTTGGTTAATTAGTCATTCTAATTTCATCTGCAAAGTACCTACACAGTAATAGCTAGATAAGTATTTGAATAATCAGGACACCTTGGCAGACGGGAGAATCTTTAGAATTTTTCATACCACAGTGTGCCCGCTTGTCAAATGTATCCATTTTTCATGCTTGTTATTAAAAAAATAGTGCATGAAGCTGATGGATGACCCTCAGTCATTCAATAAAATGTTTTAGTCATTCAATACAAATGTATCATATATGCTAAGTACTCTACTACAGAACATAAATAGAAAGATGAAAAAGGGATGGCTTTACCGTCAAAGTATTAAAATTTTTTTTTTTTTTTTGAGACAGAGTCTCACTCTGTTGCCCAGGCTGGAGGGCAGTGGTGCAATCTCGGCTCACTGCAGCCTCTGCTTCCTGGGTTCAAGCAATTCTCCTGCCTCAGCCTCCTGAGTAGCTGGGACTACAGGCGCACACCACCACCTCACCTGGCTAATTTTTGTATTTTTTAATAGAAACGGGGTTTCACCATATTGGCCAGGCTGGTCTCGACTCCTGACCTCATGATCCGCCCGCCTCAGCCTCCCAATGTGCCGGGATTACAGGTGTGAGCCACTGTGCCCGGCCTGTTTAAATACTTTTTAAGGCTTTTTATAAATTGAAGATATGGAGAAGACAAACTTTGTCATTTGATCAATAGAATAGTATTGATAATATTAGTGGTATTATCTAGTCAACCGAACCCCTTGAAAGGATACCTGATAATTTATTTAAAAATCAAACAATAAGACATTATTTAAGAAACATTATTTACAGAAAACTTTTGATTTTCAGGGGAATCTTTGTCCTTCTCTTTAGTAAGTGCCTCTGACTCCCTGGCCAAACTTAATCTCTGAGTCAAATTAGAAGTCTGACAAAAGATGCTCTAAAAAAGCTGTGGAAGCAGTTACCTGGCTATTACTCATGGTCCCTTGGCAATGTGTCTTAAAATTTTTGGACACCCCAAGCACTGAATTGGATTAAATGATGCTTTCAGTTAGCTCTAGGCCAGTCCTTGACATCAACGGACATTCTACAATGCAACAACTAATTGAGACTTGTGACTTTATTGAAAAACTATATAGAACACTTAGAGATTGATCTTTCCAGTAGCCCAAAGATATCCTTGAAACGTAGTTATACTTGCCTTCACAATAAATGAGAAAATATTATTAAACCTAGCGAGGGACATTGGTTCCTTGCTGGATGTGTCACTAAATGCCCCCTTCCTCCAGAGTGCGTTGACTACCTAAAGAGGAGGGGAAAGGCAGGCTGTCAGAGGACATGAACACCTGATACCCTCACCATCCTCAGTTGATGACTATTTGAGTCCCAACAGGTTTGACCCACCCATGGTGAGTCTACTGCTGCCACTGAATAACATGTCTTGTAGTGTTTATAGAAGCCCTGCAAGCCACCCTGTTGTCCTTTGGGTCCACAAAGAAAGTATAAGAATAGCAGATGATGAGATCATTAACCAGATTTAGATTTATTGATTTATCTGTACCATTCCCTGTGGTTACTGAGTCCAGTTAAACCTCAGGAACTCAGGTCAACAGAACTTCAACATAACCCAAGTTTCAACTGACAAATTCCTCACCATGGAAAAAGTAGTCATGGTCAAATCAGCAAAGATTGACCGGTAGAAAGTGCAGCAAAGAAGTGGTCATTGGGTGCCCTCTCCTGATCAGCCTAGGCAAGGGTCTTCCCTCAGAGATCTCAGAGTGTGGTTAATAATGATATCTCCAAGAAGGAGATTAATGTGCTCTCCACCAAATAATTCCTGCCTAGATGGCCCCCTAGGGCCTGCTCCAGGATAGCCTCTGTTACTGACACAAATGCTATTCCTTCCTGCCCTCCCAGTAAGCCTAAGGATGAAATGTAGAGCCCTGCAAACTTTTACATGGACCTCAGGACTGGGTTTTAAAACCAAGACAAGGAGTTTGCCTGAGTTCCTGTGCACCCCAGAGGAGATCAGAGGTCTTATGCCAAGACCAGAGTTTAATGGAGAGGTGGAAAGAAGTGCACTTCTTGGTCCTTTTGGCTGTGTGGTGCACAGGTGACAATGACACTTGCAACACCTGGCACTAGGATGCAGGGAAACAAATAATACTCTTTGCTTTTGGATCTGAGGTCACCACCAATGAGACCCTTGTCAGGCTCAGATATGAGTGAGTTCTTTTGAACCCCTATAAACTTCAGTGTTATGGCCCCACTATTGAATATGTTATTATTATATATGCATTGTTTATATGTACTTCTGCTCATCTTTACCCCCAAGCCCCAAAAGGACTTGCTGACATTAGGGATATCTTAGTGGGGAATGTGGAAAACTGTGAACCTATCCAACTAATAATACCTAGTGCCATTGCCTCTTCTGACAAATTAAAAATAAAAAACTATCCTTGAGACATTTTTTTCTATTCAATGCCACATGTAGCTTGTGCACAAGGATTCAATGCCACATGTGGCTTGTGAACGAGGCCTGGAGACTCACCATTGATTATAAGTGGTCCAATGCTGTATTCAGTCTTTGGTGCTAGAGACATCTGACATGTCTGTCATAAGGATTATTACTCAAGCTAAAGGAATTTGGTCAGCTGCAATTGATATCACAAATGCAATAAAAATTACACATTTTTTTTTTTTTTTGTGATTCCTCTACAAAGGGTGTCTAGAGTTAGCTAGAAGAAAGAAACACAAGCCAAACTCAGGAAGGTTGTAAGGAGGAAGAATATATCCAGAAAAAAAATGAGGCACAAAATTTATTGGATATCTTTGAATTTTGAAAGCAACTAGAAATGTGATTCGACTCGATTTGTTGCATGGCTCTTCAGACTATCCATTTCTAATGGGGTGAGGGCAAGCAAATCCAGGTGGTTGTGCAAGCTTCCCTGAAGTGTGCACAATATGATGTGCAAATCAGTTAGTTCTGGAAGTATACATGGGGATAAGAATGCTGGGAAAAGAAAGAAGCTACTCTCATTGATAAAATCCTGGTTCACTCATCTAAAATTGTGTGGCAAGGTCATCCTCTGCATAAGAAGTACATGCCTATTCTTCACCTCAATCTTACGGTCTTAAGTAGGGCCCCTTACAAGAAATTTGTGAAAAAGGAGAGAACTCAGTCCCAGGTGAGAAGCGCATTAACACGATATATTGATGCTAGTCATAACAGTTATACAAAGAAATCCATCTTGTAGGCAAAGCTGTGAACAGCACACTTGGATGCCTACTCTGAAGAAAAAGTGAGACGGCCTTAGTTAGGAACATACACGGCTTTCTAGGCACTGGCAAATAGCTTTGCTAGCTGTTGAGATGCCGGAAAGGAACAATAGAGAAAGATCAGTGGGAAGGAGGTCTGGGATAACCAAATGACAATACTGGAGTGATCACAAAGAATCTTTCTTGAGTGCTTAGCAGCTTAGCAGACAGTATCCATTAGAGAGGAAGCTCTCCACAATCTGGTAGACAGAATAATTTGTACTATGAACAATAGCTATTTTCACTCTTTAGCTGTTGCTACAATAGGCCCACAAGCAGAGGACCATGACAGCAAAATAGAAGTTATGAATGGACTTAAAAATATGAGCTTTCCCTCACAAAGGCTGAACTTACTATAACATTGTTAATTCTTAATATGGCACACCTCTTTAGGAGAGATAAGCCAGCTGTTGGAAGTAAACTACATAGGTCTCCTTCAACCTTGGAGCGGGGCAGACATTTATATTTTCTGGAATAGATGAATACTCTGGATATGGGTTTGCCTCTATGCCCTTCAATAACATCGAATTGCCTATAAAATTTCGGATTCATTGGTATCATATACTTAAAAATATTCCTTGGAAAAATGAACCTATTTTATGACAAATACAGTACAACAATGGGCTCATGAACGTAATATTCATTGGTCTCACCATATAGCTCATGAAACTTCACGTTAAACACCAGCTTTGAATATACCTCAATGCATGCTGCAGCATGGTTCTCCAAGACACAGCATATGAATTGAACCAACAGCTGACATTTGGTTATATATCCCCAGTTATTAGAATTTACGGGTAAGGGAAACAAAATGTGGATTTCGGATTAGCGTTTTTCACCATTGTTCCCAGTAATCCACTTACGAATATGTGCTTTGTTTACCCACACCTTTAGGATTTGTTGAGCAAGAGACGCCGGGTTTTAGTGGAAAGGGCACTTTTGCTGGTAGACACAGTAAAAGTTTTACTGCACTAGGATCCAGAATATAAACCAGCCAAACAGAGTTGGCCAACATAATTTGGAAGAGACAGACATCATGGACAGAGGGAAACACTTTGATCTTTGAGAAAAAGAAGACAAGATTATTTGGCAGATAATTCCTTTCCTTTTATCCCATTGATTGACAGCTCTACATCACAGTAGTTCCACATGGCCTGTTTAGAAGGCATCTGTCCTTATTAAACTACCAGCTCCATTTTCTTGTTAATTTGTGAACAGCTGAGAAATACATCACCTTGCATTTGGTTTCCCTACTTCCTGTCCTCCTTTCCTGTTCCCCCTCAAATTTGTAGTCCTGAGACTGCATATCCCAAAAAAACCTTGGTCCATTAGCTTTGTCTTTGGTTCTGTTCTAGGGAAAACACACATCTTTCCTTTTGTGAAAGAATCAATTATTTATCTAATTATTACCATAAACAGAAACAAGAAACTCATGTCATATTTACATTTGTAAGACACTGTACATGCAAATAGATAGAATAGAATGGAAACAACATTTACAGAGCACTGGTTAAATGCAAAGACTTATTTGGTTAATTTATATTATTTTGGTTAACATATTTTAATTCTTAATTGTGAAAACAGAAAAAAAATGAAAAAGAACCCACATCACAAGAAAATGTCCTACCATTATCAAGAATATAAATGTAACTAATATTTATTTTACTGTGCAGGCACTTTAACCTAAGTCACCTTTACACTTAACTTTGTTTGTTGTGATAGTACTAAGGACTAGAGTAGGTAAATTAATTTCCAAGAATGAGTTGAGGGATAAATTAAATGTAACAATGAAGGAAGAGTTGCAGACAATTTGAAAGAAGTGTCTATGATATGCTTGGGTGACAATGATGACTCTGGTCAGGGATAGACAGATGACATATTTTTGGCAAAAGAAAACAAAAAATACAGCAGAATGGGTTTAGGGACAAGAGTATTTTCAGTCAAGTGATGTGTTTACAATCTTACTGTAACATTTTAAAGGGTAAATAGTGATCAAATTTTTGAATGTTGACCTAAATTTTGAAACAAATTTGCAATGTGGTTGCAAAATAAATTGATGATATCTGTTGCAGTAATGGAAAAGTTTAGGAGATAGTTAACATATTGTGGAGCACAATGAGTTTTTCATTTTCTTTCTTTTTCTTTTTTTCTTTTTTTTTTTTTTTTTCTGAGACGGAGTCTCGCTCTTGTTGCCCAGGCTGGAGTGCAATGGCGCCATCTTGGCTCAATGCAACCTCTGCCTCACGGGTTCAAGCGATTCTCCTGCCTCAGCCTTCCGAGCAGCTGGGGTTACAAGCATGTACCACCTTGCTCAGCTAATTTTTTTGTATTGTTAGCAGAGACAGGGTTTCTCCATCTTGGTCAGGCTGGTCTTGAACTCCCAACCTCAGGTGATCTGCCCACCTCAGCCTCCCAGAGTGCTGGGATTACAGGCGTGAGCCACCACGCCCAGCCCACAATGAGTTTTTTTATAAGACTTGTCACTTTTGAAATGATAAGGCACAATATATTGGAAATATTTGACAGGAAGCCAGAAATGTAAGTTCCTGAAAGGTATTGAAAAGATATGATCTGGAGATTTTTTAACTAATGAAGTTTTAAATTTCTTTCATGTTTGTTCAACATGGGCTGGTCTTAGAACAGGAAGAAAAGGAGATTCTCATGAGGTAGAGAAGGCAACGACAGGAACATTTTAAGTAGAGGTTAATTAACAAAATATAGAAAGCTCATGGACAATGAGAACTGAGAAAAAGGACATAGATTTATCATGGTATACTTGAAGAGTATTTTCAGTCAAGTGATGTGTATTGTAACATTTTAAAGGGTAAATAGTGAAGAATTAAAATAATTTTGGAGAACTACAGTACTGAAAGAGAGAATTCTGGATTAAGAAAATGTGGCATATATACACCACGGAATACCATGCAACTACAAAAAATGATGAGTTCATGTCCTTTGTAGGGACATGGATGAAGCTGGAAACCATCATTCTCAGCAAACTATCGCAAGGACAAAAACCAAACACCACATGTTCTCACTCATAGGTGGGAATTAAACAATGAGAACACACAGACAGAGGAAGGGGAACATCACATATCGGGGTCTGTTGTAGGGTTGGGGGAGGGGGGAGGGATAGCATTAGGAGATACACCTAATGTAAAATGATGAGTTAATGGGTGCAGCACACCAACATAGCACATGTATACATATGCAACTAACCTGCACGTTGTGCACATGTACCCTAAAACTTAAAGTATAATAAAAAATAAATAAATAGATAATTCAATACCATAGCTTTTCCATTATATATATAATGAAAAAGTATGTATGATTGCTTGTTAAATATTTCCAATATAGTGTGCCTTATCATTTTAAAAGCAACAAGTCTTATTAAAGGATCTATTATGGAGGATCTATTCAAATAGATGGATTCTCAATGGACTCCCTGTGGCTAACTGAGGTGAGTTGAAGCAGAAGCAAGCAGCCATGTCTGGGTGAGGGATTGGTCATGTACTCTAAGTTCTCAGAAAGATGTGGTAAAAGTATCACAGGACCTCTCTTTCTGCAATGAAGCCAAACCATTTCCTACTGCTGGTGCCAAGATAAACTGCAGCCAGAACCCACCACACCCCCACTTGCCTTTTGAAAGAAATATCTCACAGAGATTTCTGGTTCGAGGCTTGGAAACCAACCAATTCCAGCTCATTTAAACAAACCCACCAGAGCGCATCTGCCCCAGCCAATCAGAACTCAGCTGTGGTGGCCAGTCAGCACTTAGCAAGTTTGCATTATTCAATTGCATAAACAAGCCTGATTGAAATCTGAGTGAGAACTTTTGCTATAAAACCCAAACCCTTTCTTCGTTCTAGTTCTCTAGAAAGCACTTTCTTTTATACCAGAGGGGCTGTGTCTCATTTGCAAACTGCTCACTGGAATAACATCTCTTTTTTGCAGATTCCTTTGCAGAAAACCCTTGTTCACATTCTTTTTTTTTTTTTTTTTTTTTTTTTTTTTTGAGATGGAGTGTCGCTCTGTCACCAGGCTGGAGTGCAGTAGTGGAATCTCGGCTCACTGCAACCTCCGCCTCCTGGGTTCAAGCGATTCTCCTGCCTCAGCCTCCCGAGTAGCTGGGATTACAGGTGCGTACCACCATGCCCAGCTAATTTTTGTATTTTTAGTAGAGACGGGGTTTCACCATGTTGGCCAGGATGGTCTCGAACTCTTGACCTCGTGATCCACTTGCCTCGGCCTCCCCAAGTGCTGGGATTACAGGCGTGAGCCACCGCGCCCGGCCCTCACATACTTGATATATTTTTTTTTATGTTCATTGAAGAAATGTTTACTATATGCCCTATGTATTTAAAGAGACCCACTTGAAATGATCAGTAAAATAAATTTAACCTATATATTATTATATTAATATGCAGACCAGAGAGATTTTCATTTTTTAATTTGAACACTAAAGTGATCTTAAAGAAGATTCATGAAAATAATTTAATATTTATCATTTAATAATAGAAAAATAAAATGCATTAAGTTTGGAAGTTTAAACTTTGCTGAAGCCAAGAAATATGAAAGTAGAATTCCTGACAATATTACCTTGTTTAAATTTTATGAGTCTCAACCAGTGTATTATTTGGTACAGCTGAAGTTATCATTATAAAGATTCTCACCTTGAGAATAATAGAATATGAATATAAAAAAGTATATGTATTTCAGCGAGATTTCTATGGTGCAAATCCCTCCTCAATATCTTTATAAATCTCCAACGTTCTCATTTCTCCTGTCAAAGCAAACTTTCTACCAACTGAAAGAGCTGAAGTTGACTAGTAATACAGTCTTTACACTAAATTGAAATTATTCTTTATGCATCTTATTCCCATTAGCCCTGGTACTATATAAAGATACAACTTTACACAATTATTAGTAACTCATTTTTATACATGCTATTCTCACAATTGCTCTTAAAAGTCAAAATCTATGTGGCCATTCATGATTGCCACTTGTGAAAACTCAAACACAGACAATTTAAGTAAATAATACAACTTTACACAGTGTATGAATGAGAAGGACTTCAAAGCCAGACAGTCTGGCTCCAGAGTTTACGCTTAATCATTAAGTTATGTTGTCTTTCAGTATGGCTTAAATAAAATGCTGCTGAACTATACTGAGTTTTTAAATCACTGCTCATAATATGATTCCTTTAACTGCCTTGGAATCTTCATTACCAAGGATTTGTAGTTAATCTCTCTGTTGATTCCCATAACTGCATTTTCTACAATAATAATATGCCTTAATAAAATAACTAGAGAATGGAAAATCTGCAAAACTAACTATATCATGGCTACCCTGAAAGAGAAAATTAAGAGAGCATTGAAAACTGCTTTTGTTACAACCTTTCTGTTTTCTGTAAATTCAATTTGCTTCCTACCTCCAAACCACAAAGAACATAGAAGTGATTATCTGGGTTGGTTCAATTCCAAGGTTAGGATAGATTATGTTTGTCATAAATCTTCAAGCAATGGTTTTGCCTAGTCCAACAGAATGTAATGGAATCTACATGTTGGTTTTTAAAATGTGGTGTGAAGACCACTTGCTTGTATGTAGTAACGATGCTGATAATATAGAAGTGCTCTTTGAATTTTATAAAGTTAAAATCATGCCTTTAATTTTGAACTAATTTTTAAAAATTGTATGTCAATAAGAGCACCATGCACTGAACTTGGGGTGTTCTTTCTTCTGTTTATAGTCTAAATTGACCAAATGCTGGCATTAGTTACATATCCCTTATAGTTACTAATATTGAAAAGTAATATGACAATTGCCCCTTTTCATGAATTAAATTATTGATCAACTCCATGATATAAATGATATTAAATTCTAGATATTAAAAAGTAAGACCAAATTCAATTGATCTAGCCTATTGAGAAAGCCTTGAATTCCTGCCAACTGCATAAGATTTGATATGGTTGCAACAATAATAAACTTGTGATTTCATGCTTTAAGTTTTTAAGCTATTAAATGTATTATTTAATTCTAATAATTCAGTGAACAATAATATCATTATTTCCTTTTTTAGATGAGGACAGTGAGGTACAATAAGGTTTGCTGCTTTGAATAGCTTTTCTAAGTGGGCATATTAAAATTCAGGGAATCTACAAAAGTTTATGCTCAGGATCACACGACATACTCTCCTTGTCTAAAATAATCACGATAAATGGCTTGGAATAGAGCTCTGGATGAAATAAGTCAAAGTTTCGAAAATGTACACATGAGAGATTCTTTGTAAATTATCACAGCAACCCAGGAGATCATTTAACATGATGACCATGCTAATCAATTGATGTCCCCAAATTAATCCAGTGTTTCGAAATCTCTCAAGGAAATAAAGTAACCGTAAAGAATTTTGATTAGCTAAGTGGCTTCACATTGGGAATTTTCAGTAGGTAAATACACTATACACTTTATTTCCTTCTCAATACCGCATGAGAACTATTCACTTATTAAGTAATTACTGGGGTTCCAGAGGATTCACCTAATAAGTATTGGATAAGACTGGACATTTTAATTACAGAAGTGAAGCTATTTCTGTGACTCAGGTTTCCTGGGGGAATTTTTATTACCTAAAACTCATCAGAAAAATAATGGTCTTTGTCTTTGATTTTATTCAGTGGTCAAGGAAAGGCGTAGGTTCACAGGGACAGTTATAAGAAGAATCTCTGTGTTTTTTGTTTGTTTGTTTGTTTTTTGCACCCTTCAAGACCCACTTGATTAAGGTATCGGCTGTATTTGCAAACCGGGAAAACAGAGCTAGAACATACAAATTAATATTAAAATTGTTATTCTTTAGTGTTGATATATTGAGTGTTTTCTTTAATTCTGCTTGTTTGGTTTGAATTTTCTAAATTTTATGGAATACTTATTAATTATGAGAGCAAATACAATCTTAGAATTACATTTTTATTGTTCTCTTTTTATCTTGAATAACAATTTCTTTTAAATATGGTTTCTTTAAAGCTTCATTCTTTCAGGCCTAGAATAGCATGCTAACAAAAGAGACAAAAATTTATATTCTGACTTTTCTACATGATCCTTTCTTCACTTATAATAAAAATTCATTTGACTGAATTTATTACACATACTTTTGACATCTTGCTCCATCTTATCAAATCTACTGAAGATAGTATAACTCTCACTGGAATAGAAAAAATATAGTTTCAATTTTAGGTTACATTAGCAAGCTTTCTCAGTTTTTAGGACTATTACTAAATTACCATATTTTGAAATCATCTATGCTATTTTGCAAAGAAAATGAGTTCTCACTTTTCTGATTAAACTACTTATTTTCACATTAATAATATTGTCTATGATTTTCAAACTTTCCTTTAAATCTTAGAAGTATAAAATGCTTTTGCAATCTGTGTCACTTATTTCTTAACAAAGTTTTCCTTAATCCCTACTTCACTTAAAAACAGTGAAGCAGTTGATAGGTTGGTAACATAGGTTCATTGGTGGCTTATGTTTGTGAGCAAAGCTCTAAAACACAATTTTAATTTTTAAAAACTATTTGACCTTTAGGCGTATTAAATAAATATATCACCATTTTAGATGAACCATGGGTATAAAAGCAAAAAGTGTGAATGTTAGATTGACAACTCAAATACCACAACCAACACTGACATTGACACTGCAAGTGTTTCCAAAATGGCAAATATCTATTGTAATATTCTGAAGTAGAATCTTTCCTTTATTTACATGATAGTTGTGTGCTTAGAGAAATTCTTAAAAATTTTAAGAATTTATATATTACTTATAATTAACAATTGTTAATAACATTTGTGTTTATATGTAAATTTAGATTATGAATAGCTGTTTTACTTATATAAATACTTCGCTAGATATTGAAAGTCATGGGTAGAGATAGACAAGGTAGCAAGAAAGTTAACTGCAATATGGGTAATACAAACTGTATTCTGTGGGAAAAATTGGAGAGGATAGAAAAAGGGGATAATTAGAAACATGCTGATTGAACATAATAGAGCATTGTTAAAGAGGGTTTTGGTGGACTTGCAAGGCATTGGATCTTGATATCACAGAGAATGGGAAACCAATTCACAGAATTCTCAGATTTTTAAATAGGACAATGATTAAGTTTATATAAAAAGACTATTAGCAGGATGCAGGATAGGTTAAAATGGAGCAACATAGAGGACATTTTAAAGACATTTCAAAATAAGATTTTTCATACATGGAAGTTACTTGGATGGTGGGAGTGAAGAAAAGGGAGAATCTATTTCAGCCACCAATTTATTAGCATAAGTTACCATGTAGATAGTGAAGCCAATATAGGAAATTTCAGGAGGTGGGATGAATGTGTTGGACAAGATAATTACTTTAATTAGAATATACTAAATATCAGTAGTTGTCATATACAGAGATTGAGATAGAGGAATGAGCTCTGGAACTCAGGACTGAGATTGTAGCTTGTGGTGTAGCTTGTAAATAATTGTTGAAGCCATGGGCTATGGGTATACCAGCAGAGTATAGATTTGTAAGAGAAGAGAAGAGACGCCAGAACCATGGGGGTTAGTGTGGAATGGGTGAGTGAGAGGGATAGAGAGAGAGTAGCCGAGGAAAAACAGAAATAATTTCAAAGGGCCGAGAAGATGGGAAGATGCAGATTAAAGTGTAAGTTTCACTTACTAGAGTAATTTATGTTTGAATACAATAAAGAAACGGTGTGAGAGAAGATTTGACAAAAAAAGTTCCTGAAATAGTTATTCTTTCTATATCTCAAACTAACATTCAAATAGTAAATTCTATAAACCCAGAAGGATAACATTTATATAGTTTATTTACTGCCTAAATCTAGTATGCAAAAAATTTGAAGAGAAAACGTAAAAACCACTTTCACTAAAATATAAAAGATTCATTTATAGACAAATAAAAGGAAATATATATTTCATTTATGAATTATTGCATATGTTTTCAAATGTTATACCTTGTACAATTATTGACCAAAAATAATGCCTATGAATTTCCATAGCTTATGTAGACATCAATTTCCAAAGTCACAGAGAATACTGGTTTATATTATTTTTGTCTCCTTTGATAAATAAAGGCTGAACAGAATAATAAATTCCTTTTTTATCAATATTTCCTTGGACTTCATCCAGTAATGTAGAGTTTATTATAGTATATGGTTCAACATTTTACAGTGTTAAAAGAGTGTTTTTCCTTTCTTAGGCTACATTATTTTCCATATATATTTTAAATATTCTATAATACTAATTTACTAGGTATAATAAAATTACTAATTTAATATTACTTATATAATTAAAGGCAAATTTAGTTCCTAAATATGGCTTCATCTAAATTAAAAACAACTTCTGATTATTTACCTCATATATTTAGTATACATGTATATAGTATTTATGTAAAATAAATATATATATATCCTATTATATTAATAGAATTCTATGTGAAAAGGAGAACAAATAAGTGGATGCTCAAGACAGAAAGAGAGAGAGAGAAAGTGGAATATATTTGTAAGTTAGATGCTTACTTGTCATATTTTAGCCCAGAGGAAATCTTAACTGCCTCTACTTTATGGCAAAGCTTGCACAGAATAAGCACACTTACAGATGCAGAGAGGATGTATGCCAAAGGGATCTACATTCATATAAATAATGTTTCTAGACTGAAGAAATAACCCAAGTGCAAAATATTTTACATTATACTATTCCAAAGAATTTTTTTAATCACAAAAGAGGCTAAAACTGCAAATATTTGAAGCAAAGAAAAGAAAGCCCATTAAATCTAAATTAAATCATTATTGAGCAATCCAAAGCAAAACATTCAGATTTTTATTGTTTTTCTTTTGGGGATAATTTTTTTTTAAAAAAATCAAAAGTCCAGATATTTTCTCATTACCTTCCAAATACTTTTTCAATAATTTAACACATAATAATAATTTAGATCAATAAAATTCTCCTATTCATTCCATGCATGAGTTCTGGGGTCTTAAAAATAATTTTTGGAAAAGACCCTATAATTTAAGATATGGCTGTGTGAAGATAATACACAAAACTGTATACTCTGAATTTATTAAAGATAAATAGAAAATCTAGTAAAAGCAATTTATTATACCCCAAAATTATCACTAATTAATGTGTCATTATAAATTTTTTACTGTTTTTGCTTGTTTTGTTTTGTTTCATTTTGTTTTTCCCCAGGCCTCTGTGAGGCATTCAGTCAACCGTGGAGTCCTCCTTAAGTTCCTCTCACAGCGTCAAGGATCCTTTCCTTTGTTGTTTCTAAAAGGTTTGGCAAATCTCACTGTCTAAAATGTTTTTCAGTAGAAAAAAATAATTGTCATATTCCACTTCGCTATCATCATCTATAAAATGAAGCATGTGTGGCTAGTTCTTAAAGTATATTTACTGGACTTCCCTGGCCTCCAAAATTTAGTAGACTGCTTCACGAATTCCTTATGTTTGCACAACACTTGGCATATGGTCAGTGCACCACAAATAATTATACTAAGTTAAAAATACATTCAAAGATCCATGACATCATTATATAAAAATGAAATATAATATTTAAAATGTATTAAATAATTAATTTATATCAGTCAAAAGTGTTATGTTGTTGAAGTCATTACAAATCTAGACACCACTCTGTAGAATGGTTTGCCTCTAGGTTAAGGCCCATGTCAATCATACTAGTCATTTCTTGTCTAATTTTGACTGATGTATTAGTAAATCAGAGTTTACCTTACATGTTATTAGGAAAGGCAACAAGGGTTTTCAATTGTTTGTTTATTCATACCACGGCCATCAAAATTATTTATTAAGAAACCACTACTATGTTTCGGGTATCGGATGGCTGTGGATATAAATATTAAACAAAGCAGACAAGCTCAGATAATGTTCTAGACTTCCTATCAAACATAGACTGAGAAATTATGGGAAAATTTCTCATTAAGGACCATTATAAATGCTTTATCAGACAAAAAATTCATATAAAACACTCAAATACTGGAAAACCAAATATTTTCACTGGATAGACGTGATAAAGCCCAATTTCATTAAAAAGATAAAATCATGACACTCATACAAATATAAAATAGACATAAGTAAAATGGTTCATTTAACTAATTAAGGAGGGAACTGATAAGATGTTATAATTAGTTCAAAGGAGAAGCCAGAGGACACATATATAAGCAATCAGGAAATAAGCAATGAATTTGTTAGCATATGAAAAAGTGACTTCTGAATGAAACTTTACTACCATTGTACAACATTTATTTACACCTCTATAGGCAAGAATAATCTGCAGTACTATCAGCAATGCAAATACTTTGAGAGTAAAATACTTCAAAGATCAGTATAGAATCAGACAACCCAGAAGGTACACTAGACAACTGCTAGCATTCCCTAGAATTGTTAGTAATCAGTCTGTCTTTCTCTCTCTCTCTTCTGTCTCCCTCTTTCTCTTTAATTCTTATTTTTTCATTTTCCATTCCAAAATTATTCACAATTTTTATAATAGCTAACAATGAATTGATTCCTAATACATTTTTCTTTTAAACTGTACTATTTGAATATAATTTTTAGTATGTCTAGTTAAACAGTAATTTCTGCATGTTGGGAGAAAATCAATTGTTGAAAAAGCATCAAACTCACTTTTTTTAAATCAAAGAGTGACATTTTTGGAATTCTGGTATCAAAAATTTTGACCCTCTGGCTCTGAAGTGGTTAGTTTACATTCTTCCAGATATGAAATATATTGCTGAGTAGCTCCATTTAAGCAAGCTATTAGGGGTTATGTTAATGGATTCTCTTTACAAATATTCAGTACTTACATGTTACATGAGTAGGCTCAAATCTTGGCTGCAGCTAGGTATAGGAATATCATCAAGAAAAAAAAAAAAAAAGCCCAAAGCACTAATAGTAACTCAAACAATGCTAAGAAAATCAGTTCTACCATTTCCTAGTCCTGAATCTTCTGTGCACTAAGGACTCATTTATGTTGTGTATTACCACATCAACTGTGGAAATACCTGGTTTGTGATATGAAGCATATAGTTGAGCCACTAAATGAAATATATTATATTTCATTGATTTGAAACCCAGTTCTTTTCTATTGTAATCTCTTTCTTGGTCAATTCTACAAAATCTCCCAAATTTACTTGTGACATTCCTTCAAGGTAGATTAGGCTAGACAACAACCAATCTTCATTCCTAATTACTGCCCACATTATGTAAAACAACTAATTTAAATAACACGAAGAGTGGTCCCTAAAACTGGGGCAATCTGAAGTATAAGTGGAAGTGTAAACCAGATCTCTGTTCTATTTGGTTGAACTTCCCCAACTAATTTCAGAAAATAATTAGAATGAAGAGTCTCAACTTGTTAAGATAAAGATGTGAAATTGCTCTTTGGAAATGGAACCTCAGAAAAATGAGGGGAGAAAGCTTTAAAACTGGTGATCATCCATATATATAATATGGGGTCTTCTCTCCTTAGCTGTGGTCTTTACTCAAAGCTTCTGTTTGCCATGTCAACAGAGTGGAAAAAGTTGATAATTTCTTCCTGTTTCATCCAAGCTCTGCTTGAAATCCACTGACATAATGTAGTCCATTTCTACTAATAAACTGAGTACATTTATCCCTTCTGATATAATGGATTTCTGATCAATAATCTCAGAAAAAAAGAGTAACACTAATTGCTGGTAGTATCAGAAAAAAATTGTATTGTATGTGATGGCTTTCTCTCTTTGCACTACTCCTTGCAATGACAAACTCAATAGCCATTATTCAATCATAATTTTCATAACTTCTTTCAACAATGTATCAGGAAGCAATCATTTTACAGCACTGAATTCTACTTTTTCAGTTTCTTTTTAAATTTTTTTTTATTAAAAGATTCCTGACTGATTTCCCCACATTATTTCCATGCCAGTCATCTCCAGGTGCAACTATATTGGGAGGTAGCAGGTGGCTGAGTTTGTAAGAACACAGCTGTTGTAGTGTTTCCCAGCTCCATTAGGCCAAGTCACCGCCAGACTCTGCCCCTTATCTCAACTCTGCTGGGATTTTCTGTCGTCTAGCCTTTTCTTTTTTTAGCTATAATCCACTGTCACAGTCCCTTGGCTGGTTCCTGAAGAGGCCCCATGCTGCTTGAGTCCTGCTGGGAGACTACCTGCTTGCCTTCTGTGATCTCCCTTCAGTGGACACCCCAGGACAGCAGCTCTCTCCTTGTGGGGACAAGGTCAGGTGCTGGTTGTGGGCAGCATTGTGAGCAACATGTGCTCCCAGTGTGGGGTCTCCTTTTGACCTCAAATGATATTTTTGTCATCAACAAGCAAGGCTTCTGACATCACCATCTAGTCCCTCATGGGGATAATGCACTCCACAAACTGGAGTTCCAGGTGCTTCCCCACCCAGCTATGCCTTTCTCCCTCACAGTGCTCATACTTTATCAGAGGTCTCATACAGATTAAGACCTTTTTGTTTTTCATGTCGTCAACTCACTCCCCCTATGCTCCCCCTTCAAACTGGACTCCAAGTCACTTTACCCACCAGGGCTTAGGGCAAGGAAGCCACAGCATTTCTCCAGCAAGCCCAAGTTTGGCTTCCCAGGAGGCAGGGAGCTATATCCAAAGCCCCTTGGAGACCACCTTCCAAGCTTGCCAGCATCTCCCAGATCACTAGCACCTGCACTACCATGGCCACTGCTCCTTGCTCAGCAGGGGAGAGGCATGGGGCAGGGTCTCTTCCTCATACGCAGGCACTTAGGGACCTCTGGGTCTGGCGGTGCACGCGATGGGGAGACAATTGAAAGATGCTGCCTGAACCTGCTGCTTCCTTCAGTTTTGTTGTTTCAGTGACGTAAACAGAGCTATGTATCATTTTGTACTAGAAATGATTACTTTTCATATATTTTGGAAAATATGATTCCCAGGGAAAAGGTGCAAAAGTTCATATGTGCAAAACTTTAACAGACAACACATTTGACACTAGGAGGGAATGGATTGCTTGTTCAATGAAATTCAATTACAAAACTGCAATATTGTAGTTACTATTTACACTACTCTTTTTATGTGTAAATCAATGTGCAAGTGGCTACACATACAAATTCACTTATTCCAGAGTGTAATGGTTAATCCTGAGTGTCAGCTTGATTAGATTGAAGGATGCAAAGTACTTTTCCTGGGTGTGTCTGTGAGGGTGCTGCCAAAGGAGATTAACATTTGAGTCAGTGGACTGGGAAAGGCAGACCCACCCTCAATCTGGGTGAGCACAATCTAATCAACTGCCAGTACAGCTAGAATATAAAGCAGGAAGAAGAACGTGGAAAGACTAGACTAGTTTAGTCTTCTGGCCTACATTCTTTCCCCAATGCTGGATGCTTCCTACCCTCGAACATGGCACTCCAACTTCTTCAGCTTTGGGACTCGGACTGGCTCTCTGCTCCTCAGCTTGCAGACGGCCTATTGTGGGACCTCACCTTGTGATCCTGTGAGTCAACAGTGCTTAATAAACTCCCCTTTATATATACATCTATCCTATTAGTTCTGTCCCTCTAGAGAACCTTGACTGAGACGCAGAGCACACATCTTCACATTATACATTTCTACTGGAGTTTTACTCAACAATAAAATTTCTAAATTATGGTATATAACTTAATAATCATTATTATTATCATATGTTTAGTGATTTCCATGGATCCATTTGTCTCCATGGAATAGACACGCAAAAACTGTTCTCATTTTCTGTTTCCTCAGTGGCTTTCTCTTGATACACAAGGAATAATCCAGGGGATTTTCTGCTAAGGCAACAAAATACAACAAGCTTAGAGAAAATAACTTGACAGCAGAATCTGCAGCATTTAAAAGCCAGGTGATCATTATTTATTAATTTTAGCTAAGCACTAAAAATGTTATTTTGCCAGATAATGAAACATGATATCTGTAGTTATCAAACAGAATCAATTCAGCCAATCTGCACTGTATTCATGTGCTTTAGCTTATTATTTTGTTTACTGTACAGCACTGTAACTCATTCAGAATTGTCATATATAAACAATATATATATGTATACATGAAAACAATCTACAATCCTTTCCTAGAATTTAGGTAAGCATGGGTCAATCATTTAGGATAGGAATTCTTAATCTAAAATCTATCAAGCTGGCAGCAAAATAGATAAAAGATGTAAACAAATGTTCTACATTAAAATTAGGTGTAAATGGTACTAACCTTAAGAGAAAGCCTCATTAATACAAGAGAAATACACATGTAAACAACACTAACATATCACTTTTTGGCCCTCAGAATGTCATCAATCCAAACATTTTTCAAAATCTCTCAAGAAGCAGGGACTTATGGTACTGCTCATTGGAATGCAAAAATGGTATAACACTGCTCAACGAAATAAAAGAGGATACAAACAAATGGAAGAACATTCCATGCTCATGGGTAGGAAGAATCAATATTGTGAAAATGGCCACACTGCCCAAAGTAATTTATAGATTCAATGCCATCCCCATCAAGCTACCAATGACTTTCTTCACAGAATTGGAAAAAACTACTTTCAAGTTCATATGGAACCAAAAAAGAGCCTGCATTGCCAAGTCAATCCTAAGCCAAAAGAACAAAGCTGGAGGCATCAGGCTACCTGACTTCAAACTATACTACAAGGCTACAGTAACCAAAACAGCAGGGTACTGGTACCAAAACAGAGATATAGACGAATGGAACAGAACAGAGCCCTCAGAAATAATGCTGCATATCTACAACTATCTGATCTTTGACAAACCTGACAAAAACGAGAAATGGGGAAACGATTCCCTATTTAATAAATGGCGCTGGGAAAACCGGCTAGCCATATGTAGAAAGCTGAAACTGGATCCCTTCCTTACACCTTATACAAAAATTAATTCAAGATGGATTAAAGACTTAAATGTTAGAACTGAAACCATAAAAACCCTAGAAGAAAACCTAGGCAATACCATTCAGGACATAGGCATGGGCAAGGACTTCATGTCTAAAACACCAAAAGCAATGGCAACAAAAGCCAAAATTGACAAATGGGATCTAATTAAACTGAAGAGCTTCTGCACAGCAAAAGAAACTACCATCAGAGTGAAAAGGCAACCTACAAAATGGGAGAAAATTTTTGTAATCTTCTCATCTGACAAAGGGCTAATATCCAGAATCTACAATGAACTCAAACAAATTTACAAGAAAAAAACAAACAACCGCATCAAAAAGTGGGCAAAGGATATGAACAGACACTTCTCGAAGACATTTATGCAGCCAACAGACACATGAAAAAATGCTCATCATCACTGGCCATCAGAGAGATGCAAATCAAAACCACAATGAGATACCATCTCACACCAGTTAGAATGGCAATCATTAAAAAGTCAGGAAACAACAGGTGCTGGAGAGGTTGTGGAGAAATAGGAACACTTTTACACTGTTGGTGGGACTGTAAACTAGTTCAACCATTGTGGAAGTCAGTGTGGCGATTCCTCAGGGATCTAGAACTAGAAATACCATTTGACCCAGCCATCCCATTACTGGGTATATACCCAAAGGATTACAAATCATGCTGCTATAAAGACACATGCACACGTATGTTTATTGTGGCACTATTCACAATAGCAAAGACTTGGAACCAACCCAAATGTCCAACAATGATAGACTGGATCAAGAAAATGTGGCACATATACACCATGGAATACTATGCAGCCATAAAAAATGATGAGTTCATGTCCTTTGTAGGGACATGGATGAAGCTGGAAACCATCATTCTCAGCAAACTATCGCAAGGACAAAAAACCAAACACCACATGTTCTCACTCATAGGTGGGAATTGAACAATGAGAACACATGGACAGAGGAAGGGGAACATCACATACCGGGGCCTGTTGTGGAGTGGGGGGAAGGGGGAGGGATAGCATTAGGAGATATACGTAATGTTAAATGATGAGTTAGTCGGTGCAGCACACCAGCATGGTACATGTATACGTATGTAACAAACCTGCACATTGTGCACATGTACCCTAAAACTTAAAGTATAATAAAAATAATAAAATAAAGTGAAAAAAAAACCACATAGTAAATGGCTATATTTACGACAGAATGATGTGAAACATATATAAATATAATTGGTAAATTTCTATATTGATAACAGAATATTAAAAAACAAAGAATCTTATCAGAATATTGGTATTTTTTTAGAAGCCATATACACAATATAGTGCAAGCAAAAAGAAAAACGTGCAGAAGAGTGTGTAGGCTATTTTTGAGTAAAGTATAAGAAAAAATATGAAATAGAAACATGGATGTATACATATATGTGTGTATGCAGGTATATGTGTATTGTTTGCACATGTGTACGTGTAAGTGTATTTTATGTATAAATATATATGTATGCATATACACACAGATTTGTGGGGAGCGCTTGAAGAAAAAATAAAGTAATAAAAAGAGTAAGCTGTAGCAAGTCAAAATTTTTATGAGAAGTAGAGTTATCTGTATATTCTTCTATGCCGTTTTCACAATTAAATAATATAAATATTTACATTTTAAGTAAATAAAATGAAATGCTTAAAACCAAAAGGGATTCCTAAAAACTGAAACTAAAATCAACCAATTCTAAAAATTATATATGAAGTGATAGGAGAGAATTTTTAAAAATGTACAAAAGTAAGAAACTCCATATTACATTCACAATGACTGTAAATGTCTACTTTTTAAACTGCCTATAAAACTGACCTAGAATTAAGAAAACCCCCGTCCCAGTGAGCACATTAAGTAATCAGATCTTGGCTTCTAAATACCATTACTCAGTAACAGGAACAAGAAACCCTTGGAGGAATGGTTGATTTCGTTTCTGTGGCAAGGAAATTCCATAGTATTTTATTGTGCCAGCAAACAAGGAAGTTCTCAAAAATTACAACTCACACACAAACACATGAGCATATACACACATGCAAATGTACACAGTCATTTATAAACAAACATAAACCACTTTGATAATAATTAAATGCATTCTTCCATATATAGGTCTTTGCAAGGTTTTTTTTGGTTTGTTTTTTGAATTTTGGTATCACATAACATTCCACGTATCTTTTGAAGTCAGTAAATTCTCAATTAAATTCATGGTGATAACCACAAAACACTGTATTTTCATTCACATGCGAAGTTTGCTGATAGCTTTGTCTTTTCAGTTTTTCACTGTACTAAGATTGTTGAAAGGTACTTTACTGTCTACATATGTCTACATATCTGTATTCATACATGTACTCCACAGCACTGATTCCTAAAATTGATATTGATATGTTGTAAGGCACCCCACACTTGCTATTTTGATCAAAAAGGCCAAATAACTTGCAGAATTTACATTCTCAATAATAAATGTGGTATTTCACTTTACCTTATATTTATTTGTTTATTTTTGATAACCTAATAGGACAAAAGCAGAATTTCTTTGTGGTTTCATGATTGTTTATCTGAAATAAATTTTGTTCATATGAAGTACTGCTAAAATAATTAAACTTTAATAGTTTTGTAAATTTTATTTTAAAATATAATTAAATTTTAATACTATAGCTTCTTTAGTTTTTATGTATTGCCATATTTTAATTAGTTGATTTATCTTTAAAAATGATTTGTAAAACATTACGAAGAGTGATTTTTTTATTAAATACTACATATTTTCTCCCAAAATAGTACTCATATTTCATTTAATATGGCATAAACTTTTATATGCACTGTTTATTTTTTCCTGGACAACATCATCTATTGCAATGAAATTGAATTTTGCACATATAAAAGAAACAGAGTAAATGCTTTTTTTTTTTTCTTTACCTTGCTTGCCAGCACTTCCTAATGGGATATCTTACACACTTAGTTAATGGCAGCTAACTGCAGATGTTTTCAATAACTGGACATGTTTCATCAAACAACAAACCTAATATAATTACAGTCTTCCTTAACAAGACAATATAACAAAAGGTCAGGTTGAACTTAGTTTCCAATTTTCAACTGTTGCTTTTCACTCCTGTAAAATTTTTCAAATCCTTGTTCTTCCTAAAAGCCAGTTTGTGAGATTACCACAATGGCCTACAACAATTATTCCAGTTTTTAGTGTGTCCTTTCTCTAGTCAATTAATTACATTCTCCTCTCCATCATCTTTATAAAACACGGGTTGTGTAATTCTCAATTAGAGCTTCTTTACTCTTCATCACCTCCCAGTTTTCTAGATTTTTGTCCTTACACAACCTGTGGTTAAACATACCAAACTCTTCATAATTCTGACCAATATTTTGTATCCCTGTGAAATTTTAGAAAGTGATTTTGTGTCCTGGTTGTATGTATCTGAAAGATGAACTTTGAAGAAGTGGTCTACCTTGTCTAACACCATAATGGTCTAATTCGGCATTTTGCCTGAGGAGCAGCAACAATCTTGAGAGTTGGCTATTCTACTCTTTAATATTATACTTAATAAAAAGAAACATAGAAACGGTATTTTCTCTTCTATACTGAGAAGAACATTCTTTCAAAGCATCTGTGTTTCCCATGCAATATTCATTTCCTCCATTTATTTATAGAAATCTGTGCTTGTTATTAAGGCTTACTTTTATTATGATTATCATTATTTTGAATACAGAGATTTGTATCTGGGACTGATATGTATTAGGACAGACATAAATTTTTCTTTACTGGATCCTTTTTTTAGCTGACATGGTTTGAATTCTATCCATAGAATTTAAACTGGATGCTTAGATATTGCTGATGTATGTTTCTTTTTGTTCAGCTCAGAAATGGTTGAGTGGAAAAGATTAATGAAACAGGTGGCAGAAAAATGTACTTTGGGTACATTAATGACACCAATTTTCTCTCCAAGTAAATGGAGTCCCTGATGCAACTAGTATGGCCAGCCTTGTCCAGAGGTCTAATAGGAAGTTAAGGATAGGGTTCTGAGATTTCAACCTTGCCCCATTACTGGACAAGCAGGTCACAACAGCCTGAAGCAATCCTCAGGTCCCACCTACCAAAACAAGCTACTCAGATATTTGGCTTTCTGTTCTATACTTGGCCCTGTCTCATATTTAGGTTTAGGTTATAATTTCTGGCAAAAAGTAAAAAATAAAAATAAAAAAGGTCACATATATTTATTTCAGTTCTGACTATTCCATTATTCTAATTAGGCTGATGGAGAATAAATAGAATATACTCATTTATCTTATGGCCCAGCTGTGTCCTTTCATGTCTCCACATCAGAAGCCACTTCTTCACATAACTCACTTGCTTGCTTGTATCATGATGTAAATTAAAGAACATATATGTAAAATTATTACTGGTCTTTTTCATTTGGCCTAACTTTATTAGATTAGGCAGCTGTTTTTTCTTTGGAAAACAATTTACAATATTGTATTATTATAATTCTCTGACTCAAATATAGATAAAATTTGTTTGTTTTTGGCTCTTTCTATTCATTTGAAAGAGTTTTTTTTAAAGAGTTCTGGAAACAGCTTATCACCTTTCCTAGAATGCCAGTTCACTAAAATACATGTGAGATTGTCAGTTTCCAATTTTTGGAAAACAGTATATGATTACTATAATCTTATAGCATCATTTTAAAAGAAAAGTTGGGAAGAAAATAAAAATGTTAAAAGATCTGAAGCATTAATCCATTTGTGGTTCACAGTGCTATTTTAAGAAATATTTAGGCAGTACCCAATAAAATGGTATAATAAAATGATATTCTGAAATTAAATGTGACCATGAAGAATTTGGCAAAGTTACTTAACACATATCAGAAAAGGGGACAAAAATAATATAAAATATATCCTTGGATTGAATTAATTAAGAAAACTATATTGAGGAGCAATATAACAATGTATAAATGGGCTTTTTTGATATTTATGTTTGTTTTCACATGTCCTTAGAAACTGTTGGACTTTATATAAATTTATGGCAGCCTGGAAATCTTTATGCAGATATACCTTTTCATACTTAAAATGCCACAGAACAAAAAAGTAAAAATCAGTGAAAAATGCTCTCGTTCAAAGAAGTTTTCCATTCACAATTGCTCTTAAGAAAAATAAGAGAAGGTCAGCAAAAATATGTGTTTACATATTATCTCAGACAAAAAACACCTCTAAACATTAATTCTCCTCTGTATGCACTCAGAAAGTAAAGATTGCACATGAAATAAACAGGGATATTAAATAAAAAATACATAAGCAGTCATAAATGCTAACTTCTATCCTGTTTTAACATATCCATAAGGTCTGTTTCTGCATAACAATTAACCAACTTATGTTGTTTTAGCACCAACTTGGCAGATAAAATGAAGAGCCTCTGTATGTTAAAATGTAAATGTTGTTAATGACCAAATAACAAGGGACAACTATTTTTTCCAGAATAAAATTTGACCAGTAGAGAGTTAAACAGAGTTGCAATTATAATAGCATTTTCTTTAGAATAAACTAAAAACCTATTTGGCAAAAAGAAACGTTATAAACATCTTACTGGAATCTGATAAGATAAGGTTACACAGCAGGTCAAGTCACTCCTATTGTCTGCAACATCATTTATAATGAATGTCTCTTGTAGAAAATCTATTAATGCAGGCATAATCCCTGTCCTCCATTGTGAGTGCCATAATGGGATTCTATCCAGCTGATCTCAGTCTTGCACAGCAGTGGTTCAGGTGTTTCAAATAAGCATTTGCTATATAAATGTTGTCAGATATGGAAGGAGAGTTGCTTAGTCTAATTAATCCAGACTTATAATTATTTCTGAAGTGATTTATAGTGCTCCAGATCCATGCAATCAATCTTTCTTTACAACTCTGTCCTCCCTATTTAATAAAACGTGGCCATACCAACGCATTGTGAAGACAAACCTTCAAATCCTAACCCTCTTCCTGTTTCCACCTATTCTATATATTGTGGGGAAGTTTATTCCTCTGTTTCCCTTTTACATGCCCTCACTCCAATAATCATTCATTTGTTTATTCAATCAAAACAATATTTTTTCAAATTTTAGTTGAGGCAGATCAATAGCCTCTAGCTTTTAAAAAATTAGTGTCTAATGAGAATTCAGAATAAATAATATACAAAAGATGTAGTCAGTTCCGCATAGATATAAGAACAAGGTTATACAAAAGCATAGTAATAATAAGCTTTCTGGGAGGCTAAGGGATAAGGGAGTACTTAGGGAGTTATAGATTTTTGTTGAATGATTGATTTTTTTTTTTTTTTTTTTTTTAAAGAGAGATGGTCTCACTCTGTCACCCAGGCTGGAGTGCAGTGGTGCAATCATACCTCACTGTAGCCTTGAACTACTGGGCTCAAGGCATTCTCTTGCCTCAGAATCCTGAGTAGCTGGGACTAAACGTGCACACGACAGTGCCTGGCTAAGTTTTAAAATTTATTTGCCTTCCTTTTTTTTAATATAAAGAATATCTCACCTTGTTACCCAGGCTGGTCTCTAACTCCTGGTCTCAAGGGATTCTCCTGCCTTGGCCTGCCAATGTGCTCGGATTACTTGTGTGAACCGTCACACTGGCCTAGGAAGTTATATTTCAGAGTTGAAAATTAAAATTTTAAGGGTACAGAGGAGGAAAAGATAAGGCATATTTGGTAGAAGAGAGAATAACGTGTAAGGACACAAAGTGGTGAAGTACGAAATGGTGGAGAACAGTAAATATCTGGTATAGTAAAATAGCAGGTATTAACAGGGAAATGTGATCACATAACTGGAAAAGTAGGTCCGAGTTTATAAAAAGACTGTTTGCTAATAGCTTATACTTATTATGTTTGATAGGAACTGCTTAAGATGTTAAATTGGAAATAGATTTAATTAGATTTGGATTTAAGGAAAGTAACCTCCTAATTTAAGAAAAGTAAATAATAAAATGTTATTTCATTTTCATTGGAAAATGTATGATTTAATTCAGCTCCTGTGTAGCTCAATAACAAGCAAAATTAAAAAAACATATTTATAGGGATACAGATATATTTGGTAAATATATTACAAAGAACAAATTTACAGAAAACACAAAACTCTCACTATTCTCATAGGAGAGTTTCACCATTGAAAGAGAAGCAGAGAGGATTTCAAGGCATGCAGACGTAGAACTGTAGTTAAAAAGGTCTATTCCTTAAGTTGGGTAGTACTTTCATGGAAAGTTACTAGAGTTTTATTCCTTATCACATTAATATATACTCTCAATTTCAAATATTATATAAAATATTCAAAAGTGAATAAATAATACATAAAGATGAAATATTTGAAAGCATTGCAAATGAATTTCAATATTACATAATGAATTATTTAAAGAATTAGGTGGGAGGAGACAGAAGATGGAAGCAAATGCAACCCTCTCTGTTCTTCCATCCTCCTTACCCTCCCCAGAATGAGACACTTAACAAAGAGGTGAACTCCAGATAAAATGGGAAGAAGGTTCATCAAATGGTAAAACAGAAAGAATAGTAGTAAAGACTGTTCCCAAATTCAAGGTCAGGGGAACCCTCAAATAGATATAGTTCATTAACGTTAAATACTGATGAAAATTGGAAC